>NT_187658.1:381566-572349 GCF_000001405.40 Homo sapiens
CTATCTTAAAGAAATAGAAAATGCTTAGGCAGGTGGCAAGCCAGGTTGTCAAGTGATTAGTCATGTGCCAAAGCATAATAACAGTTTTTCCTAGTCTATATGTGGTATATAAATGTGAAGCAAGTCCCACTAGAAATGAATCAAACAGTATCACCAACAGTTGTCCAATTGTGGAGATAGCCAAGCAGGTGAGGATGAAGTCAGCTGAGAAGACCTTTTGGTTCTTGATCCCTTCAGAGCAGTTTACCAGTCCAATGAACACATTCCCCAGCATGCTGATGATGAATTCTGCTATTGCCAGAATCAGAAAGATTTTGTCCAATTCGGTGGCCATCTCCAGAGACAAAAAAATCCAAGTTTTTAATACTTTGTATCATTAATAAATTTACAATCAAACCATTGCAGAAGAGCATTCATATCTGATACTTATCTTCATTGCTTTTATTGCACTTCCAGTCTTGATCAGAACCTTCTGCTGTTGGATAGAGTCTCATATACTTAAGGAAGTCTTTGCCTATTTTTACTATAATTCTGATCTTAATCCCAAAAGATCTACTAAGGGATGCAGTCTCACATACCTTCACGGGAGTGTTTTCATTTCTTTGAAAGAGCTGCTGAATTCTAAACCAAACAGTTTCTGTGTCCATTTATCATTGTCATGGGCTGAAACTTTCCACTTGTGGTAATGATTAAAAGGATAAAGTCAAGTATATTAATATGCAAATATAGACTGGATTCCCCCCCTTTCTCTGATTTGTACATTTCTGCTCACCTGAAAAACTACACCACTTGGATCCAAATATCTTTATTGTTTTTCAGAGGAAGCTGCAGATATAATCTAATAATTTTGTTATTATTCAACGAATATATTTTATAAGTGCCTGCTGTGTTTCTGATCTTATGCAAATGCAATATATTTACCACAAAAAAAAGCATTAAGAAGTCTATAAAATAGTGAAAACAGGAAAAAAACAATGAGACAGAATCAAGAATAAAATGTGCTATTAAAGCAGAAAAGGGAACTACAAACACTACTGTTGGGGAGAAAAGGGGGGTGACATTTGCTTTGGATCTGGAAAATACTTAGAATTTCATGAGGAAACTCAAGTCATATTTTGAACTCATTGAATAATATCCGAAAGATACCGAAACCCAAACTACTTTTTTGAAATTAAAGTCCTACTGATATTTCAGTCTAAATGTTCCTCAGGTATCTTATAGTAACTTGTTCAAAATTAAACATGGTTTTGCTCTTTACCTTGGTTTTATATATGTTCTATTTTTTTTTTGGCAAGAGATATATTGCTACCAATTTAGCCTTAATAGACAGGTAGAAAATTGTTTTAGATGAAATAAGGAAAGAGGAAACAAAAGTATTTGTTCTACATTCTAGGAACAATTATTTTGACAAAAACCCCCAATGCACCATAATTGAACTCAGAGTTACAGATTATGTGTCTTGGTTTATGGTCAGCAAACAGATATTCTATTACTAGAAATTAGTGTTCAAGTGTTGCCAGACAAAAATTAACCCAAAAAATGAATGAAATCATTTTTAAAACTTGGACCTTTTTAATGTTGCTGTCATACTCCTCAATTAAATTCTATTAATTAACATTTAAAAGTGTATATTTTAAGAATGATGTTGTATAAAGAACTACTGGTAAGTTATTTCCTATGAACAAAAATATTTTCATTTAGGACAGATATTTAAAATTATAGTAAGACAGGAGGAGAAAAAGAGTAAGCAAGAAAGGAAGGAAAGAAAGAAAAGAGGGAGGGAAGGAAGAGAATGAGAAAGAGGAAAGGAAGAGAGAGACAAAGAAAGAAAAAGGAGGGAGCTTCTGAGACAAAGGCTGAATGAAAATGAAGAAATGTAGCAATATCATAGGAAGGAGAATGATGGCTTCGGCCAAATTAGTGTCTAGAGATGGAAAGAAATATATGGCTATGAGAAACAATTAAGGGAAAGAATCAATAGTCTGTGTGATGGATTTGGAGGCTAGAAAAAGGAGGAGGAGTCTGCAATGAAATGCATTTAGGCTCTCCTTTCACTGCTGGATGCATGTGGTACTGTGATCTGAGGGAATCACTGGAGGAAGAATAGGCTTAGAAGCCAAAAAGTAGGAGAAAGAAGAAAAGTTTGAAGATGAGTTCTGTTTTGAACGTTTTGGAGTATCTGTAAAGTCATCGAAGTGGAAGGTTGGAGTAGGCACTTTGATATTTGTGACTGCAGCTCAGAAAAGAAATTTGGACCACATGGGGAGGTTTGGAGAACATCAACACATATTTGATTTTATTAGAGGTGAGGCGCTCCAAGGGCCCTGAGGAACACTAGACAATAAAGAAACCAAAGGAAAAATTAAGAAGCCATCAGAAGGAAGAGGAAAACCGAGAGACTAGGATTTCAAAGCTACTAAGAGCAAGGAGTGTTACAAGGAGGGTAATCAGTACTTCATGATATTAATGAAAAGTCACTTACTAGATTGAGGACCAAGGAACTACTTAGTTAACTTAGCAAGAGCAGCTCAACTGATGACAAAGCAAACTACCATGGATTAAAGAGTCAATGAGACCCCAATAATGAAGCATTAGAAAACCAATTAATGTAATTCAGTACATTAACAGATTAAAGGAGAAACATTCAGAAAAAAATTTGATACAATTCTGCATCTATTCACAAATATTCTTAGCAAAATTAGCTGAGCTAATTTTTAATCTGCAAAAATCTGCAAACATCTTTTGCATTTCTTCATACCATCAACAGTTTAAGTCTGAAAATACCTTAGCTTTTATGCCCATATAATTAGCTTATAATTAATACATATTGAATATAATCAAACATTCCAGAGTTTTAAAAAATTTAAACCATTATCACACTCTTTTTCTCATTTTACGTATTATTCAAGAACATTAAGTTCTCTGACTGTGTCATTGGATATATTCAGTTTTCCTGCTTGGTATCTTAATTATAGACTGTCTTCCAGTCTAAAGCAACTACCTCTAATATCATATCAGCCATCCCCTCTCTCCACAAAGACCAGCCCTGCTCCTTTTACCTAGTCCAGTCACTCAGTATTTTTTCTTTTTCAAAACCTATGGGCTGTACTTTTCCATGTGGGGTGATGGGTAACAAGAGAGTTTCTCCTTCACTATTATGCAAACACAGACCGATATTGTTACTCTTTTTGCATTTTCTTTGCCTAATGAATTTCCATTTGTATCTTTAGCTATGGAAGATCTAGAGGAAGAATTTACAGATCGTAAATATTAAAATTCAATCTAAAAGTCTCTTCATCCAAGCATGTGAGAAAAATCTTGGTCAGAATCTTGTTCAGAATAGGAGGAAGAGGATGTGTGGCATGCCTTATAGTCTTTCAATGGGCAGAGTAGTGGTTTGACCACTTACAAATTTACAAATGTGGATTGTACCATACTGTAGCCCTTATTCTCTGTTTTGTCCACAGGTACCAGGGGAATCTATACCTGAAGCATTACTGGAGTCAAGGTATAAAACATTTATGTTCTCTTATCTAATAAGTCTAAGAACTGAACTGCAAAGGATTTTAGTTTGCCAGAACTTGCCCTTCGTATGTTAATGTAAAGGATGTTGGTACTAATTAGAATGGTTCTTGCCAATGTGAGGGTACTAACCGATATGCTATTTATGTCCACTTGTTCAACTATATCTCTTTTGAAATACCTGAATAATTTTAGAAATGAACCAAGAAATTAGTTGAGAAGAAACCAAATAATATCTAAGGGAGAAATCATATACAACTTCAGGGATTATCTTAGTTTGTTTGTACTGCTGTAACAGACTATCACAAACTGGGTAATTTATAAGAAAAGAAACTGATTTCTCACAGTTTGAGAGGATGGGAAGTTCAATATCAATGTGTTAGCCTCTGGCAGAGGCCTTCTTGCTGCATCATCCCATGGCAGAACGTCAAAGAGAGGGAGACAGAGACAGAGTAAACTCACACTTTTAAAAGAAACCAACTCATGTGATAAACCCACTCCTGTGATAACAGCATGGATCCATCCATGAGGGTAATGCCCTCACGACCTAACACCTTTTAAAGGTCCCACCTCCCAATACCTCCAGGTCTCCAACAAGTGAACTTTGTGGGACACATTCAAATCATAGCATTTCACCCCTGGGCCCCCAAAGGTATGTCCTTCACACATGCAAAATTCATTTCCTCCCTTCCAGTAGCCCCCACATTGTAACTCATTCTAGCACCAACTTAAAAATCCAAACTCCAGAGTCTCATCCAAGTCAGATATGGATAAGACTCAAGGCACAATTCATCCTGAGGCAAATTCTCCAGCCATGAGCCTGTGGAATCAAAACAAGTTACCCACTTCCGAAATTCAGTGGTGGGACAGACATATGAAAGACATTTCCATTCCTGGGAAAAATAGGCAAGAAAAGAGGGGCAATTGGCCTTAAGTAAGTCCAAAACCCAGCAGGGCAAACCATATTAAATCCTAAGGGTTGAGAATAATCTTTGACTCCATGTCCCACCTTCTAGACCCACTGGGTCAGGGATTGGGCCCCCAATTTCCCAGGCAGCCTCACCTCCACAGCTTTGCTTGTCTCAGTTCACTCCTGAGCAGCTCTCACAGGTTGGAGTTTTGTGCCTATAGATCTCCCAGACTGGTTTTGTGAGGCAGCACAGGGCAGTGAATGCTGAGGTCTTTCAGGCACCTCTCTGGAAGCTTTGACCTTAAGGTCCTAACTTGCGTAACTTCTGGTCCTAACTCCATGATCTCGGAAATATCTTCCAGGTCATTCTCCCTTTGTCTTATGAATAGAACTTGGCTTCCTTCTAGCCAGATTAATATTTTCAGCAAATGACCACTTGGCCAAACCCTTCTTATTCTCTCTCGAACATGCTTTTTTATTCTTTATATGGCCAGGCTGAGAGTTCTCCAAATTTTTCTATTAGTCTTCACTTTTCATTATAAATTCCATCTTTAAATCATTTCTCTCTCCTCAACATTTTACTATATGTGCTTGAAAGAAGCCATGGAGCCCACTGAATGTTTTGCTGCTGAGATGTCTCTTCCATCAGATATCGTAGTTCACCTCTCTTAAATTCTGCCTTCCATAAAGCCAAAGGGCATGAACAGAATTCTGCCAAGTTTTTTTGCCACTTCATAACAAGGATGATCCTTACTCCAGTTTCCAATAAGACATTTCTCTTTTCCACCTGAGACCTCATCAGAATGGCGTTTACTCTCTATATGTCTACCAACATTCTCATCAGGACCATAAAAGTAATCTCTAAGAAGTTGCAGACTTTCCCTACAGTTATCCTCGCCTGAGACCTCAGTGGAATCACTCTTAATACAAAATTTGTGGCAATCTAGGCTTTTTCTAGCCTGCTCCTCCCATACCAATTTCCTGTCTTAGCCTGCTTTGTGCTGCTCTAACAAAATACCACAAACTGGGAAAATTATAAAGAAAGAAATTTATTCCTCAATTCTGGAGTCTGGGAAGTCCAATATAAAGGTGCCAGCATGTGGTAAGGGATTTCTTACTGTGTCATCTTATGGGAGAAGGGCAAAAAGAGAGAGAGAGAACGAGAATGGGGCTTAACTTGTCCTTGTATAAGGAATCAGCTCCTGTAATAACAAACCCACTACTCAATAATTGTGTTAAGCCATTTATGAGGGTTGTGCCTTCATGACCTAAACACTTCTTAAAGTTTCCACCTCCAAAAACCTCCACACTGGGGATCAAGCTTCTAACACATGAACTTTGGGGGACATATTCAAACCATAGCAGCCATGTATTTTACTAATTATAAAAAACAATAGTAACAACAACAATAATAAAAGGTATCATTTCTAGAACTCTTACTATATGCCTGGCTCTGGATAAAATGATTGACTTGCATTTGTGCATATATTAACTTAAGAAAATGCATGACAACCAATGAGCATATGAAAAGAAGCTCAATATCCCTGATCATTCAAGAAAAATTAATCAAAACCACAATGAGATATCATTGCACACCAGTCAGAATGACTATTATTAAAAAGTCGAAAAATAACAAATGCCAGTGAGGTTGTGGAGAAAAAGAAGTGCTTATACCCTATTGGTGGGAATGTAAAGTAGTTCAGCCATTGTGGAAGAAAATGTGGCAGTTCCTCAAAGATCTAAAGCCAGAACTACCATTCGACCCAGCAATCCCATTACTGGGTATATACCCAGAGGAATATAAATCATTCTGTTATAAAGACACATACATGCAAATGTTCATTGCAGTACTGTTCATAATAGCAAAGACATGGAATCAACCCAAATGCCCATCAATGATAGACTGGTAAGGAAAATGTGGTACATATACACCATGAAATACTATGCAGCCATAAAAAAGAATAAGATCATGTCCTTTTCAGGGATACGGATGGAGCTGGAGGCCATTATCTTTAGCAAACTAATACAGAAACTGAAAACCAAATACTGCCTGTTCTCACTTATAAGTGGGAGCTAAATTATGAGAACACGTGGACTCATAGAGGGGAACACCACACACTGAAGCCTCTTGGAGGGTGGAGGGTGGGAGGATGAAGAGGATCAGAAAAATAACTATTAGGTACTAGGCTTAATTCCTGGGTGATAAAATAATCTGTACAACAAACCCCCACAACACAAGCTTACTTATGAAACAAATCTGTGTTTGTACCCCTGAACTTAAAACGTGATTTCTGGGTGTGTCTGTGATGCTGTCTGAAAGAGATTAGCATTTAAATTGGTTGACTGAGAAAAGAAGATCATCCTCAACAATGTAGGTGGGTTTCCATTCATCTCTGGCCCTACTGCTGGGTCTGAGGACCATTCTTGGGACAGATGTAATTTAAAGCTGACACAGTGTTAAATGGTTGCATGAGAACCAGGTCTTGGGTGCTTTGGACTCAGATCTTCATCATCTCTTGGGGGAGCATAGTAGAGCTAGATATCAGAGTTCCATTCTACTGATTTTTTTTTTAACATCAATCATGTTATATCTAGTGAACATGGCTCCTTCCACCTCCATCTGCTTCTGTTCATGAGAACCAAACTAACTTTTCTCTGGTCTCTCTCTAAGGGTATGTGTTAGGGTGTGAGGGCAAGTGATTGTCTCCATTGATTTATTTCTTGTTATTTCATAGGCATAAGGAAGGGGGATCTAATTACTATTGGCTCAAGGAGCCATATTTAAGAAAGCAAACATTGGTTTTCTAAGTGAGTCATACAACTTGCATATAGTTAATTTTAGTTAATTTTTAAAAATTGAGGCAACTCATACCTGTTATTGAAATCCAACTATTTTCAATGAATACCAAGGTACTGTAGAAGAAAATTCCAGTTATATAGGATAATATCTGCTTTACTTTTTCTCATCCTAACAAGTTTTGATAATTATAAATGAAATTTAAATTCTGTTTTACTGTGAATCAAGAGTATAAAATTCTACTCTGGGCCTAGGTGATAAACAAAAGCTTTATTAGCACTTATTTGGAAAATTCAGATAGGGCAAGGTCTCTTTAAAATAATATTGGCGTCTGTTATTGAGCACTCAGCATGTGCAAAGCACAGTGCCAGGCATTTTTATACATTGTGCCATTTAACTAGCACAACAAAACTTCAAAGTGGTGGCATTACAGCCATTTAGAAGATTAAAAAGTTTTCAGTCCTTTAATTAAACGTAACAGTTTTGTAATGGCTACAATGTGAAAGAATGAAGCTAATAATTGTGTGCTGTTGTCATCTGAAATGCAACTGGACACTGTCACTAATTTTCTTATATATATCCACTCTTCCGTGATTTATTTGCTGTGTGTATGAATGTAATATGGCCCAGAAAAGAACCATGGCTCTCTGTTTTTATCTAAATTTCCTTTTCTTTTCTTTATATATTTTGAGAAATATATTTTTATTTAACTATTTAAAAATGAATCATCATTTTTCAGAAGCTAAAATACACAGATGGGTACAAACATCTGTGAGATGTTTTGAGATAGGGTCTTGCCCTGTCACCAAGGCTGGAGTGCAGTGGCACAACCATGGCTCAGTCCAGCCTCAGCTGCCTGGGCTCAAACAATCCTCCTCCTCCTGAGTACCTAGGATTTTAGGTACGCACCACCATGCCCAGCTATTTTCTTCTATGTTTTGTAGAAACAGAGTCTTGCTATGTTGCCTAGACTGGTCTGAAAGTCCTGATCTCAAACAATCCTCCCGCCTCAGCCTCCTAAAGTGCTGGGATTACAGGCATAAGCCACTATGTGCAGCTAACTAGATGGATTTTTATATCAAATTTGGAGAGTATATTTGGTATGGTTTGCCTTAATATATAGACACATATTTTGCAAATATCCATATAACTGTTCATGGCAGTTGTTCATTTACTTATTAGTTTGTCTGATATTAAAACTTTCAGTCTTCTGTTATTTTTGTGTGCTTGTATGTGATACTTATATCCCTATCTCTTTTTTTTGTTGTTATAAATAGTTTATCGTTGGATTTGACTTCTTCATACAAATCCAGCTACAGACCACTTATGGGAGAGATGTAATGGAATTAAACCATTTGTAGTACTGATTAGTACATTTGATCTTATGATTGATATTTTATTTTTGTCTTTTCTTGTTTATTTTGCTTTCGATTTATTTTCTTTCCTGACTTTGCTGAGCTGACCAAGACTTTATACTGCCTTTTCTTGTCACTCCAGTGGTTAAAAAAAAAAAAGTTCTTACCCGTATTTCTAATCTACTAGTAGTTATCATTGAAGTGTTTATAAAGCGAATTAAATTCATAATTTTCAGTAAACATAGCAAATTTAACAAGATTGATTATAATACTCCTGCTCCAAGAGGACCTCATTTATTATAAAATTATTTTCTCCCAGAGCTCTTCCTAGCTCTTAGATTTTGTTGAAAACATCTAGAATTTACTTCCAAACTACTGCTGATGGTTCTTTACATTATTAGTCATATAATTCATTTACTTATATTTTTAAATAAAATTCAAAACCACATAAACAAAAATTGTTTAAACAAGTAAAAGTTTTGCTGGTTTGAGTGCTCACTCACCACTGCTGCTTATTTGCCATGCTGTGCCTTTTATTGGTTGTTTTATCTTGACTTGGCTCAATTTTTTTCAGGAAAGATGCAAGTGTCGCAGTATTTCTGAGCCATGGCATTGTCCATAAATGACTTGATTTTACCCTCACACTTCAATGATAAAATGGCTGAACATATAAGATTTACACTTGTTTCTCTTCAGAAATCTGTGAATACTACTTTATTACCTTCTAACTGGAGAAAGGAAACCTTTGTTTCTGCTTGTTGCCCATAGGTTAAAAGCTGCCTATGGTTATCTGAAATACAGTTCTGACAATTCTTTGAAAATTCACTGGTGCTCAAAGACAAAAACAAATAAGGTGAAAGTTTTTAAGTCTGTATATGGAGTTAAGGATTTCCTCTTTTTGCTACTTTGAAGCATTTTTAAATTGACACGGCAATCTTTAAAGGGCTTTTCTAACCTTGTTGTTTTCCATAATCAGGATAAATGAGTGACTTAATGGATAGGTAGGCACCTAGTGCCACTATTTTCCTCTTGCATAGAAAGTAGCTGATGGATGAAAGGGAAGTTCCCAAACTGTAGAGAAGGTGGAAGAAGAAAGCAATCATAATGTTCATGGCTCTCACATAGGCCTCTGTCCTGGGTCTCTGGAGCCAGTCGCCTATCACTACAGCTGTACAGTGTTTCCCCTTAGGGAGATAACAAACAAGGAACATTAGATAGGAGAAATGGTAAAGTGAATAGACAACTCCAGGTTAATGAGCATCTGGTCAACAGGAAGGTGGGCTTCATTCACACCGACCTTCCAATAGGAGTTTCTGTTATATTTTATATCAACATTGATCCAGAAATAATTTGATCTTAATCATTGAAATGATGGATATGTAGAAAAACAAGAAGATCATTAAGAATGTAAAAACAGCCCTGCTAATCCTCCACTTCAGCCAGAGGAAAATTGCATGGTGGAAAAGTGCTACTTTAAGCAAATAAAAAATACTGAGATATGAGGCTAACCAGATACCTAACTGCTTTGAAACTAATCTGAGAATGTCAAATATTGTTATAATTTTAATTAGGTTATGATTAACGGCATCTATATTTGGATAGTCATTATAAGTACATCTAATAGCAACACCCGAGCAAAAGTGTTCTGCATATGGCCAAGCTTGAGAGGATGAAATCCATCAAACAAATCTGGTTCTCAGCCCAGTCAATTAAGTTTGCCAATTAAATCCATCCAGTCCATGAATATTTTTTTTCTTTATTTGAGACAGAGTCTCACTCTATCACCTAGTCTGGAGTGCAGTGGCACAATCTCAGCTCACAGCAACCTCTGCCTCCTGGGTTCAAACGATTCTCCTGCCTCAGCGTCCCAAATAGCAGGGATTACAGGCCTGCGCCACCATGCCCACTAATTTTTGTATTCTTAGTAGAGACGGGTTTTCACCATGTTGGCGAAAACTCCTGACCTCAAGTGTTCCTCCCACCTCAGCCTCCCAAAGTGCTGGGATTACAGGCATGAGCCACTGCACCCGGCCAGTCCCTGAAATTCTTATTGTGAATTCCACCATGGTTACAGTCGTAGAGATACTTTACACTGCCTTTGTCATAGCTCCAGAAAGAACGCCCCACTTGAATTTGCAATGTAAGTTCTGAATAATCAAACATCGATTCACCAATCGTTTATTGTAGTTAATACATACATCTGTTATTTGGTATTCATAAATGTCTCCTACCCATCACTCTTATCTCTGAATCCTCAATCAGGAAGTACTCCTGTCCCTAAAATTCGACATAGTTTTCAACCCAAGTTCTACATATGATCTTCCAATATGCCCTTAGATTGTGATTTCCACATTAGATTGTGACTAAAATATGTTTCTCTTTACTAAAGATGCAAATTGAAGACAAGTAGTTTTCTAAATTTTGCATGCCCCATCTCCAAATGATGTAGATGTCTCAAGATGATTTACTGAGTCTTTAGCAGTAGTCTAATACAAAGACTATGCATCGAACTTCTAATGTTAGAAATATAAATGAATAAACTGAATAATTTTTATCACCATCAGTAAGGAATATGCAACAGACTAAGAGTCCTTTGGAAATGATTTATGAATTGGAGCAGTGTAATATTTATTATGTAGTGAGTTATGCAGATAAATATTTTTCAATGTTTACCTGGGTTCAAGAAAAAAGACATCAATTTTTAAATATAGACTGAACCCCTGCCATACCATGTGCTGTATTAGGCACAGTTTAAAGTCTCATATAAAGAGGATCATATCCGATAATAGCTGTAGGCAAACTTAGGTGGCAAAAGATGTCTTCTATGCCCTGTACATGTTGCATAACAAAAGAGAAGGAGATAGGAACCGTCTTCTCTCAATAAGAGAAGTATTCTATCACTGACTTGCAAATCTGTCATAATAATAAAAAGTAGACTAACTTTTCATTGATTGCATTACAGTTTTAAGTCCTTTATAAGCAATATGCTTCTTTATCATTTGTGCTTGAGACAAACAGCTTTTATCTCTATTCACCCTAATATCTGATGCCCCATTTACCTTATACCTGCCATATTATTAAAATTTTGTTTCTACCTTTCATTCTACATTAAGGCCACAGCAGTATATAGAGTAGTCATTAGGATTGTTGCTGTAAGATAATTGCATGATCTAAGCTAATTTCAGATACATTACATCTCTCACAGTAATAAAAATACAAACAAGAGTTGACGTTTATTGAACTCTGTGAGCAAAACACTGTTCAATCACTCTACATGTCTTATTTCATTTAATCCTCACAATAGTCCTAGTAATAGGTATCATCATTGTCTCCATCTTACACATAAGGGAACTGAGATACAGAGTTTCAGGAAATGGATATATATGCATGGAATTCCAGGAAATCTTTAAAGGTATCTCTTAAAATTACCATAATGATAAAACAAATATGTAATACTATATTAACTTTGGAAATTAAACATAACAGTTAATCATATAATGGGAAAGGAAATAATTTTTGCCAACCAAGCCAATCCAACAAGATCAAGAAAACTAGTGTTACTAAGTGCAGTTGCTCATGCCTGTGATCCCAGTGCTTTGGGAGGCCAAGGCAGGAGGACTGCTTGGAGCCAGGAGTCCAAGACCAGCCTGGCCAACACAGTGAGAACCCATCTATAACAAATTTTAAAAATTAGCCAGACATGGTGGCATGCTGTATTCATCCACTCTCACACTGCTATAAAGAAATTCCTGAGACTGAATAATTTATAAAGAAAAGAGGTTAAATTGCCTTATGGTTCCTCAGACTGTACAGGAAGCATGGCTGGGGAGGCCTCAGGAAACTTACAGTCATGGCAGAAGGCAAAGGGGCAGCAGGCACATCTTACATATCCAGAGCAGGAGGAAGAGAAAGAAGGGGAAGATGCCACACACTTTTAAACAACCAGATCTCATGAGAACTCTATCACAAGAACAGCACCAAAAGGAGAAATCTGCCCCCATCATCACTGCCATCACCAGCTGGGATAGTGGCGGCCCAAGCCACCATCATGTCTCACCTAGATTATTGTAGAAGCTTCCCTACTGGCCTCCTGCTGCTGAGCTAGCCCCTACAGAGTGGTCCCATTCATATGCAGGTCATATCATGTCAGCACCCTGCCCAAAACCCTCCAAGTGGTTCCTTGTATCACTCAGAGTGAAATCCAAAGCTCTCATTGCTGTTTGCAAGATCCAGCATGATCTGTCCACCACCCTCTACCTCAGCCCCCATCTGACCTCCTCACCAAGCACTCTCCCCTTCACCCACCCCTCCCCTGCCCCACTGCACTCCATGCTGTTTCCCAAGCATTCAGGGCCCCTCCAGCCTCAGGGCCTTGGAGGGATCTTCCCTCTGACTGAAATCCATATAGTCCCAATCTCAGTGACTCTCCAAACCCAAGGTCTGGAGAGCTGGATTCAGAAACAAGATAGCAGTATACAAAACTAAGAAGGCTGTCATAGCAGATTGTTTTTGGCTGAGTCTGCAGAGAGACCAGCTGGTGTGAAGCTCTGTGAGGACTGCAGAGAACAAAAATCAATAGGTAATCGCTTCTTGTAGCAATTCAGAATAACAAGTTGTGGGTCAGGAGTGCCACCTACTGACAATATTTTTAAGTTGCAGAAAAGGATTTTAGGAAAATTAAACTTTCCAAGGATGAATCTATAAAGCTAAATAAGTGACAAGATAAACTACCTCAAGTATTAAGAAGCCATAAGACAATTTCTCGTTTAAAACTATAATTGGAGCCAGGTACGGTGGCTCATGCCTGTAATCCCAGCACTTTGGGAGGCCGAAGCAGGAGGAGCACTTGAGGCCAGGAGTTCAAGACCAGCCTGGCCAACATGGAGAAACCCCATCTCTACAAAAAATACAAAAATTAGCTGGGTGTGCTGACACATGCCTGTAATCCCAGCTACTCAGGAGGCTGAGTCACAAAAATCTCTTGAATCCAGGAGGCATAGGTTGCATTGAGCTGAGGTTGCACCACTGAGCTCCAGCCTGGGTGACAGAGCAAGACTCTGTCTCAAAAAAATGAAAAACAAAAACAAAACAGACAAAAAAAGCAACAACAACAACAACAAACCCTATAATTTAGAAGCAACCTCTGATACAGTTTTTCTTAAACTCCAGCAAATATATTTATAAAGCCACAATAAAAGCACAAATCACAAGCATCTTGAACATCAACAATAGCTTGGACATATTGAAAAAAGATCTAGGAGTGAGTTTCATTGATTATGAGGAAAATTGGTTTTAAAATGTAATTTATTATAAACCTAGTTTTATCTCATTAAATAAACACTATTTGAAAAGCGGCAGAGCCATATTATTAATTCAGGCTGTTTTTAAACAAATATTTACTGAGCAAAGTGTTGGGATCTGTTACAGTTGCTGGTGGCCTCACAAGACACAAGTCAGACCAGGTCCCTGTGAAGGTGAAGTTTCTATCCTCCTTGATGAATGCATAAAATAAACAACCAAAGAAATAAAGTAAAAGTAAACTTTCAGATATGTATAAGGGCTTTGAAGGAAACAAAGCAGAATGCCTGGACGTACTAATTCTAAAGGCCAGAGGACTTTTTGTTTAGGGCAGTTGGAAAAAGCCTATTTGAAGAGAGAATGTATCAATTAACAGTTACAGCATAACAAACCACATCAAAACTCAGTGGCTTAAAACAACAAGCATGTATGACCGTTCTCACAGTTGATTCTGTGGGCTGGCTGGGCCCTTCCCCTCTAGGCCGGCTCAGTTGGGACTGTATGACCTTGAGTAGCCCCACTCACAGCTCTGAGGCCCAGCCAGGATAGCTGGAGATCCGTGGGCTCTCTCCATAAATGACAGCAGAAGAGTTCCCAGCAGCAAGACTGGAGGATGGGCTTATGGTAAGGGGAGATGAGTGGGAAGTCACAGACATTAATGGTGAATAATTTACACTTTTCATCTTTACATGATTAAAAAAATCAGTTAAACTACTGAACACATGGAACATGGATTTACTTATTTGATCAGTGTGTTAGTTTTTTTATTGCTGCTGAAACAACTTACTACATATTTACTGTCTTAAAACAATACAAATTTACTGGAAAGACGTCCTGTGTTCATGGGCTGGAAGATTTAATATTGTTAAAATGTCAGTACTACTTAAAGCAATCTAAAAATTCAAAATCCCACAACGTTTTTGCAGAAATAGAAAAATCTCAACTAAAATTTATATGGACATTCAAGGTACACAAAATAATCAAAGTAGGCAAAATAATCTTCATAAAGAACAAAGACACTCTCCAAGAAGATATACAAATGTCCAATAAACACATAAAAAGATGCTCAACATCACTAGTCATTAAGGAAATGCAACTCCACGGTAAGATACCACTTCATACCCATTAGGATGGCTTTATCAAAAGAAAGAAAAAAAGAAAAGAAAAAGAAGAGAAGGGAAGAGAAAAGAAAAGAAAAAAGAGAGAAAAGAAGGAAGGAAAGGAAGGAAGGAAGGAAGGAAAGAAGGAAAGAAGGGAGGGAGGGAGGGTGGAGGGAGGGAGAGAGGGGAAATAAGTGAGAGTGGCAGGAGGCAGCCAAATGCCTAGGCAGATAGGAGTGGGTACCCAGTGAAACCCCACCTCCAAGCAGAAGACAGTTTAAAGCCTGAAAGCCAAGCTACAAGCTGAATTTCAGATGGGATTGATAACTTGTCTTCCTGTTTGGTTCACTTTCCTCTGATTGATCCTCACCTTTCACCTGTTTTACATACACCTACCCTTTCCTAATTGGTTTTCTACACTGTTGTGCCCACTTATGAGTGGTGTCCTTGCTTTAACCATTTTGGCATACTCACAAACCAATCAGCGTGCACTCCCCATTCTGAATCCATAAAAAGCCCTGGACCCAGCCACGTGGGGGACTTCCCACCATCGGGTAGGGGAACCCCCACCCCAGCATCCCCTCTTTGCTGAGAGCTTTCCTTTTGCTTAATAATTTCTACTTCACTCACTCTCCAGTGTCTGTGTGCCTACTTCCTGGTTGTGAGACAAGAACTTGGACCTAGCTAAGCTAAGGAGCAGAAAAACTGCAACAGAAGGAAAGAGGGAAGGAAGGAAGGAAGGAAGGAAGGAAGGAAGGAAGGAAGGAAGGAAGGAAGGAAAGAAGGAAGGAAGGAGTATTGGCAAGCATGGAGACAAATTGGAACCTTTGTACATTGTTTGTGGGAATGTAAACAGCAAATGGTGCAGCTGTTGTGGAAAATGGTGTGATGGGTTCTCCAAAACTGAAACACAGAATTCCCATACAATCTAGTAATTCTACTTCTAGATATATACTCAAAAGAAATGAAAACAAGGACTTAGATATTTGCACACCCATGTTCATAGCAGCATTATTCACAATACCAAAAGGCAGAAACAACCCAAGTGTCCATTGACAAATGAATATATACACAAAATGTGGTATAAACATGGAATGGAATATACCCAGTCTTAAAAAGGAAGAACATTCTGACACATGCTACAACACAGATGGACCTTGAGGACATTACACTAAGAGAAATAAGCCAGGCACAAATATGATGCCACTTATATGAGGCACTTACAATAGTCAAATTTGTAGAGACAGAAAGTAGAATGGTGGTTGCCAGGGGATATAAAAGGAGGAAATATCATATCATAATATCATATAGAATTCTGGATTACATAAGTTCATCTCTTTGGGATATAACTAGGCAGAATCACTGATTCCATTTGCTAATTGCTAAGTAGTTTACCTCCAAGTGTTGCAATGATTTCCAAACATCCAAACATTGCTACTGGTTGAATCACTGAGGAACTTGCTAAAAATACAGATTATAGGGTCTAAACTATGATCTCATAAATCAGAATCTCTACAGTTAGGGCTTAAGAATTTTATTTTGTTTAAGATACCCCCAATCTTTATTCTGATGTAGCTGGTCCAGTAAGATTGACATTTCTTAATCAACACATTAGGCATCCCAGTAACAAAATACAACAATAACTTTGTGCATTAAGTTGGAAACCATGACAAAATTTTCATTTTAATATGATGGTTTTTCAGAATGAATGATTTCAGGATCTTTGCCAAAGTCTCATGCTTCTGTTTCCAAAAAGCCCCAGCAAATGTTTACCTCAACCCATTAAGTAGGCTAAGTGCCAATTAATAAATAGAGATGAAAGTGGCATGTGAAAAACCAAAACTTTATGGATAGGCACTGAGAATCTTCCTCTGTGGAGGACAAAGAAGATATTATTCTTCTAGGTCATTATAAACAGGCTAGATGGCCCTTAACCATATAAAAAGACATTTGAATTCACTTATAAGAGAAAAGCAAATTAAAACTGTGCCTCATTTGTCACGTTGGCAAAAAGTTCTAAAAGCTTGTCAACCTATTTTGTTAGTGAAATAAGAAATAAAAACATTCATTGCTGGTGTTTGCAAATCAGTATAATGCTTTTAGAGATGTTAAAAAACAAAATTTCAACAAACTGATTTCAAAGATTTAATTGGCTTTTATTATCAATTATGAATTGGGCTGCATTCCATCTATAAAACAGAAAAATGCTCCATGGGCATAGCAGAACGATTAATATGTGTAAGGGAGTTTGAGCAGAAACAAGGAAATAGCATAATACAACAAAGTGGATTGGTTAACTTAGGGTTACTTTCCTTGAAAGGGTTAAAACAAGGGGTACTTTCATATCATGCCAGCCTAGGTTTACTGGGACCTTTTTAACTGGTTACTGTGAATCTCCTGTTTTTTGTTTTTTTGGGGATTTTTTTTTTTTGGAAAATTTGGCCTGATGGGAGATTTTCCTGTTTTTTAAAGTTTCAGTTTGACTACATGGCTCTTGTCAAGAGTGACTCCATTTTGGTTTGTCCTGTTGGGGGCTAGTGCAGGAATTCAACCCAAAACAATGACCTACCATACATTTTATTTAACAGAAGGAAAATGAGTAATATTTAACAAAACTGCATGTGTGTTTATTTTTGATCCAGCATTTCTTCATCTAGGAATTTATTCTAAACATGTACCACTAACAAAGAAATAAGCATGGACAAACTTACTCATTACAGCATTGTTTGTACTCACAAAATATTGGAAACAACCTAATTGCCCATACATAGGAGAGTGGTTAAATTAACTATGGTATGTCTACGTAAGGAAGTACTAAGCAGCTATAAAAAAGAATGAGGATGATCTCTATGAACTGATGTGGAACGTTCTCTAGGGTACATTGTAAAGTAGAAAAAGCAAAGGGGAAATGCATATACGCCACCATTTTTGTAAAAAAAAAAAAAAAGAAGGGACATAAGAATATATCCATAAATATGCTTATTTTTGCATAAAGAAATACATGAGAGCTGGTCAGGCATGGTAGCTCACTCCTGTAATTCCAGCACTTTGGGAGGCCAAGGCTGGCAGATCACAAGGTCAGGAGATCTAGATCAGCCTGGCCAATATGGTAAAACCCCATCTCTACTAAAAATACAAAAATTAGCCAGGTGTGATGCTGTGTGCCTGTAGTCCCAGCTACTCAGGAGTCTGAGGCAGAAGAATCACTTCAACCCAGGAAGCAGAGGTTGCAGTGAGCCAAGAGTATACCACCACATTCCAGCCTGGGCAACAGAGTAAGATTCTGTCAAAAAAAGAAAAAAGGAAAAGAAAGGAAAAAGAAATACAGGAGAGCTAAAATAGATATTAATAAGATTGGTTACCTACAGGAAGTGGGTGGGAATGGAATTTAAGGGATTGAGGATTGGGAGAGTACACGATTTTACATAGTTTTGATTTGGGGGTACCATGTTAATGTTTCATGTACTCAAAAGTGCCTAAAATCAACAAGGATGGTAACATGAAATAAAGTAGAATTTTAAAACAAAAAAAAAACAAATAAACTTAAATATTGCAAATGAATAGCATAACCAAACTGAAAGAAAAAAGTAACTGACTTATCTTGCAACATAGTACTTGGACTATACTCCCCAAGTCTAAAGACAAAAAAAAAATACTAAATAAATATTAAGCTCTAGTTAATGTTATCCCCTACCCTCCAGTGATATGGATTAGCAATTCTAAAACTACTTTTTGATATTCTAAGGTGGGACAAATGTATACAGTCAGCCATGCATTTCTGTGGGTTTGTTTTTCTTTTTTAACCTTCACCAGTTTATTATAAAGGATATTACTAAGGATACAGTTGAAGAGATGCATTAATGGGGGAAGGAGCCTGAAGCTTCCACGCCCTCCCTGTGCATACTGCCCTCCTGGCAGCTCTCCAAGCCTGTCTTCTTGTGTTTTTGTGGAGGTTACATAGGCATGATTGATTAAACCATTGGCCATTGGTGATCAACTTGACCTTCAGCCCTTCTCCCCTCCCTGGAGGTTGGGGGATGGGGCTGAAGGTCTCAACCCTCTAATATTGTCTTTGGTCATTCTGGTGACCAGCCTCACTCTGAAGTTATCAGTCAATATAAGTATAAAAAAAAGCAAGCACTTTGGAGAGTACAAGGATTTTAGGAGTTGTATGTTAGGAAACTGGGGAGGAAGACCAAATGCATATTTCACAGTATCACATCCTCACATCTGCCAAACCTAATTGAACATCTGAGGATTTTGGTATCCACAGGGGTCATGGAACCAATCCACTGTGGACACTGAGGGATGACTGTAAATATATTAAGCATAATGGAAGCCAAGTTTCTTGAAGGGAACTGTAAATGTAGAAAGGGCAAGAGTAGCATGTGGTCTTGAATTGGAATTGAAGAATATTAGTCTGTTCTCACACTGCTATAAAGAACTGCCCAAGACTGGGTAAACTATAAAGGAGAGAGGTTTAATTGACGCACAGTTCTGCAGGACTGGGAGACCTCAGAAAACTTACAATCGTGGTGGGAGGGGAAGCAAACACTTCCTTCTTCACATGGATCTCATGAGAACTTCAGATCTCATGAGAACTTACTCACTATCACAAGATTTGCATGGGGGGAACTGCCCCCATGAGTCAATTACTTCCCATCAGTTCCCTCCCAAGACTTATGAGGATTATGGGAACTAAAATTCAAGATGAGATTTGGGTGGGTTTGGCTCAAGATGAGCCAGACCATATCATGAAGTTATCAGTATGAATTCAGTTTTTAATAGAGAAGGAAAAAAAAAAAATATATATATATATATATATATTTTATGTGTTTCCTAGCTCTGTCTGCCTAAAAGAAAGAATATCACAGTTAATAATGAGCACCTTTACCTCCCAGATACTGTTTTCGAAATAGCATTCTGCACTCTAAATAGATCCCAAAGGATCTAGGGATCCCTGGAAAAATAGCTGATTTCAGGCCTATGGCAGTAAAAGCACAAGCTAATTCTTGATTCTTTTTTGGGATGCAAAATAAGGATATACTATAAAAAAAAAAAAAAAAAGACTCAGGAGCCAGCTTGAAGCTCTCCCATTGGCCAAATGCAGGATAATTTGAACATTAATAGTATGAATATGTCATAATACCAATGAACTATAGAATTCCATAATTACATAGAATTCTAATAATTATAGAATTAATTTTCTCCAAATAAAATATGAAGCTAAAAATGCAAACTGGAATAAATGATTAAAGGAAATCTACTTTATAAAGCCAATTATTGAATGTTGAAGAAATGATACAGTTAAAAAATAACTGTTTCTTACAACTATCATAGTAATTAATAATTTGCTTAAACAAGAATCATCAATGGATGCTAAAATTAATAGGTGAAATTTTAATGCTAAGCAGAGTATTTGCATAGTCTCAAAGTTTTTCCCTACAAATTACTTTTAATTATAAACACGGAAATAGTAATTTTAAAGCAGAGAAACCTGACAAACTCCACATTAACCAAGAGATCAAAGCTAACATCACCAATATTGAGACAAACCAGTATCATCTACCTTCTGATACTGATTCACTGAAAAAGAAACAGTATCACTCTTGTGGTGTTTTTCAAAAAAAAGAAAAGAAAAGAAAAGAAAAACCTAAATCTAATCATGTGGAAATCTCAGGGATACACAAAATCAGGAGATGCTCTAAATAACAACTGGCATATCCTTCAAAAATGTCAAGGTTATGAAAGAGACAGGACGGCTGAGAAACTGATCCAGATTAAAGAAAACCACAGAAGCATGACAAATAAATGCATGGCATGACTCCAGATTGGATCCTGGACCAGGAAAAATAATTTGTCTATAAAGGGCATTATCAGGACAATTAACTAAATTTACATTTGACTGTGGATTAGATAATGAGTGGGTCCTGTGTTAAACCTAAACCTATTGCTTTTGATCATGGCATGTGACGATATAAGAGAATGTCTTTGTTCCAAAATATACACATCCAAGTATTTAGGAGTAAAGGAGCATCGTGTTGCAACTTACTCCCAAATGCTTTGAAAAATATATATGTGTATATGTGTGTGTGTGTGTGTGTGAGCGGGAGAGAGAACACAAATGAGATGGCAAATGGGGCAAACTTAACAATTAGTGAACCTGGGTACAGGCTAAGAGTAGTTATTCTTACTATTGTTGTAACTTTTCTGTACTTCTGAAATTATATCGGGACTAAAAAATTACCAAAAAGTTGTTTAAACATGACTGAACTAAATGTTTGCTATAATACTTCCTCAGTCTAAAATCCATATGGCTAGGATTCTGATTTTCACCTCCTTTTCCTAAAAGGAGTCAATGCAAGTATAACCAGACAGTGCGAGTATAACTGACAAAATATACTCCGAAGACAACAGAAGTCTCTCTATTCCTATTTTCTATTTTTTGAATTCAATGCGCTACAGATTTTGTGATTGCAGGCTTCAGTTTTCTCACTATATAATCCTAAATAACAGTGGAGGTACAATGTCACAACATAGCTCCTGCCTCTGGTATAATCAGCTATAGAAGAGAAACTAAGAGAAACTGCTGGCACTAAGAACCATAGTTTGAAAAACTGGCTTCAGTTTCAACAACCGTAATTTTTAAGCCTTTATGTGTTTATTTAACTCTCCCGTGCACTGAAAATTCCAGGTTTGGTATTAGACAAAATATCTCTGAATTTCCTCCATCATCCTGACCCTATAGACCAAATAGTTTAATACCAATGAAATATAAAATGTACATGTAGAAATGAACTAGAAATTTTTTATTGGAATAACTAATGTTTTAATTTATATAAATTGACCCAGAGAAGACTCTCATGGCCCAGGGTAAGAGTATTGTTTGATTTTTTTTAATTTCTAGTCAAATGTTTCCACTTAGCACAGTAATCTTCATCCTCAACTCTCATGGTAGAATAATAACAACAACAATAATAATAAATAGCATTGCCAGGCACTGTTCTAAGTGATTTACAATACTGATTAATTTAAGTCATTAAATTATTTTATGGGTAATGTAATTAATGTGTTCTAACAATCAGGCCGGGCACGGGGTGGTTCACGCCTTTAATCCCAGGACTTTGGGAGGCCCAGGTGCGTGGATCACCTGAGATCAGGAATTCGAGACCAGCCTGACCAACATAGTGAAACCCCATCTCTACTAAAAATACAAAAAAAATTAGCCAGATGTGGTCGTAGGAACCTGTAATCCCAGCTACTTGGGAGGCTGAGGCAGGAGAATTGCTTGAACCTGGGAGGTGGAGGTTGCAGTGAGCAAAGAGAGTGCCATTGCACTCCAGCCTGGGCAACAAGAGCGGAACTCCATCTCAAAAAAAAAAAAAAGTATTATAACACTCCTTATTTTATAGAAAAGAAAAACCAAAGCACACAAATGGTTAGGTAAGCTGCCCAAGGTCACAAAGCTAGTAAGGTTGGGTCTGGGATTCAAACACAGACCCTCTCGCTCCAGAATCTGGGTTCCTAATACTTGTAAAATGCCACATTTCAGGCATCAGCAAGACCTTTTGCATATTACTTTCTTTTTTATCTTCCACAGAAACCCCAATGCTTGACTAAGAGGCTGATATTTGCAGCTGAGTATATTGAATTCTTTCCTCCTACCTGGGGAACAGGCGCCCTCTGTGTCCTAAATGCCACATTCCCATTGTGCTTTGTGTCAGATCTAATAGACCAATCCCTGCACAATCAGGCAAGCCAGAGTCAGTGAACTGGATTTCTACTCTGTGCCTCCAGATCTTGATGTCTGCTGGCACTTTGCTTTGTTCACTCCTTTGGGAAAAGAATAAAAGGGTAGGGCAGGATGTTGAATACCATGGAAAGCAGTGGGTGGTGCCTGGAAGTGAGAACAGCTTCTTTACTACCTATTTCTCTGAACCTTAGCTTCTTCCCTTACGATAAATAAATGCATTTAGTACTTAACAGCTTACTAGTGGCTTTTATGGGCAGTTTTCTTAAAATGGAGCATAAAATTCTTAGGTCACAAAATTACATATTAAGAAACATAGATTATGTAAAAATGATTGTAAACTTTTAAACTATGTACAAATATTAGTTATATTAACAGTCATTAACACCCAGGTCCAAGACCAGGAATTAAGTAATAATTATTTCTATCTTCTGTGAGATCATTGGAGCAGAAGTGGTTACAAATTGATACCTTGCATTTAAAGATTAAGAACCTATCAGATAAAACAAAACATCCTATTGGACTCCTTACTTTCCCATCATCAAAAGCCAGAAGACTAGTACAGACAGACTGCTAATCACTATTTGGGCTCATAAGTAAAACATAAAGAGTAACATGAAATAATCCTGTGTTTTTTTTTTACTCTATTAAAATGACAGCAAATTCTTAGGCAAACTCTACAGTTTCCATTCGTTGAAATTAGAAGAACCTGCTTGGAAGTAATGCAAAACTTGGGTTTCTAAGTGAAGAAGCACATATGAGCCAAAAAGCTAAGGGGACATTTAGAACTTGGTAAGAAATCTCTGTGGCTCTAGTGAGAGACCTTCATGGCCTTACTACAAGGCCACTGAAGCTTTAGTGTGAGAACTTTATGATCTTTACAAGGAAGGTTTCTAAGGTCCTGGTGTGAGGTCCTCTGTTACTGATGTGAGACCACTGTGGCTGGCATTACCTTGACTCACTGAAACTTAGCTTTGCATTTCAAAGCTCTTGGAAAAGGTATATAATGTTAGAGAACTAGCACTTCAGTCCCATTAAAACCCACAACAAGAGTACCATTTCAGATGGATGAAATGATTTTTACCTCCTGTAATATTTCTCAGGGAAGACCACAAGCCAAGACTATAAGAAGAAGCAAAGACCTAGAATAGCCACCATAATACTGAAGAAGAAAAAAGTTGAAAGGTTGGAATGATCAAAATCCAGAACACTGACAACACCAAACACTGGTGAGGATGTGGAGCAACAAGAACTTTCCTTCATTGCTGGTGGAAATGCAAAATGGTACAGCCACTTTGGAAGACAGTTTGGTGATTTCATTTACAAAACTAAACGTACCGTTACCATATGATCTAGCAATCACACTCCTTGGTATTTATGCAAAGGAATTAAAAACTTATGCCCACACAAAAATCTGCACATGAATGTTTGTTTATATATCCTTGTCAAAACTTGGAAGCAGCCAAGATGTTCTTTAGTAGGTGAATGGATGAATAAACTGCAGTACATTCATACAATGGAATACTATTCAGTGCTAAGAAGAAATGCACTATCAAGCCATGAAAAAACATGGAGTAAATCTAAATGCCTATTGCTAAGTAAAACAGGCCAATCTGAAAAGGCTGTATGATTCCAACTCTATGACATTCTGGAAAGGTTATAACAATAAAGACTATAAAAAGATCAGTGGTTGCCAGGGGTTAGGGAAAAGGAAGAATGAACAGTTAAAGCCAAAAGGATTTTTAAGGCAATGAAAATACTCTGCACGATACTATAATGGTGGCTATATGTCATTATAAGTTTGTTCAAATCCATAGAATGTACAACATGAAGAGCATATCCTAATGTAAACTGTGGATTCTGGGGGATAATGATGTTTTAATGTAGGTTCATCAAATGTAACAAATATACCACTCTGTTAGGAGATATGGACAATGAAGGAGGCTATGCATGTGTGAAGACAGGGAATCTATGGAAAATCTCTGTACTTTCATCTCAATTTTGCTAGGGACCTAAAACTGCTTTAAAAAATAAAGTCTTTATTACAAAAATATTTTTAAATAGGCAAAAAGATCTAAGGAGACACCTCAACCAGAGAAGATATACAGATGGCAAATAAACATGAAAAAGTGTTCCACGTTGTATGTTATTACGGACTGAAAATTAAAACAACAATAAGATATCACTATATGCCTATTAGAATGACTAAAATGAAAAAAAATCTGACAATACTAATTACTGGCAAGGATGCAGATAAACAGGAACTGTCATGTATTGCTGGTGGGAATGCAAAATGATAGGATCACTTTGGAAGACAGTTTGGTAGTTTCTTACAAAGCTTAACCTAGTTTTACTATGTAATTCATCACGTGCACTCCTAGCTATCCACTCAAGTGATTTAAAAACTTATGTTTCTGCAAAAACCTACATGCACAAGTTTATAGCAGCTTTATTTATAATCATCGAAAACCAGAAGCAATCAAGATGTCCTTCAACAGGCAAATGAATTTTAAAAAACTGTTGTGTACACATACAGTAGAATATTATTCACTGAGAAAAAGAAAGAAGCTATTGATCTATGAAGGAACATGGATGAATCTTAAATGCATGTTGTAAGTGAAAAGAAGCCAGTATAGAAAGGGTACATATGCTATGATTCTAATTATATGATGTTCCACCATGATTGCTAGATCATATGGTAACAGTAAGTTTAGTTTTATAAAAAAATCACCAAACTGTCTTCCAAAGTGGCTGTACCATGTTGCATTTCCACCAACAATGAAGGAGAGTTCTTGTTGCTCCACATCCTCACCAGCGTTTTGTGTTGTCAGTGTTCTGGATTTTGGTCATTCCAATCTTTCGACTTTTATTCTTGCTCAGTATTATATTGACTATTCTAGGTCTTTGGTTCTCCTTATAAATTAATAATCAACTTGTAAATATTTGCAAAATGTTTGCAAAACTCTATAAAGAAGATTAAAAATAGAAGGTTAGTGGTTTCCTGGAGGGAGGGAGAGAGGAGGGTTGAATAGGTGAAGCACTAGGGATTTTTTAGGGTGGTGAAAATATCCTGTACAATATTGTAATTGTGGCCAAATGACACTTTGCCAAAACGCATTGAACTTTGCAGTTCAAAGAGTGAAAATCCATATAAATTTTAAAAATCATTTAAGAGTTTGGGAGAATGTCAGGATGAAATGCAAAATGTGACAATATAATTTCTTTATTATTTATTTATTTTTATTTTTATTTTTATTTTATTTTACCTTTTAAATTTTTTATTATTATACTTTAAGTTTTAGGGTACATGTGCACAATGTTCAGGTTAGTTACATATGTATACATGCGACATGCTGGTGCGCTGCACCCACTAACTTGTCATCTAGCATTAGGTATATCTCCCGATGCTATCCCTCCCCCCTCCCCCCACCCCACAACAGTCCCCAGAGTGTGATGTTCCCCTTCCTGTGTCCATGTGTTCTCATTGTTCAGTTCCCACCTATGAGTGAGAATATGCGGTGTTTGGTTTTTTGTTCTTGCAATAGTTTACTGAGAATGATGATTTCCAATTTCATCCATGTCCCAACAAAGGACATGAACTCATCATTTTTTATGGCCACATAGTATTCCATCGTGTATATGTGCCACATTTTCTTAATCTAGTCTATCATTGTTGGACATTTGGATTGGTTCCAAGTCTTCGCTATTGTGAATAGTGCCACAGTAAACATACGTGTGCATGTGTCTTTATAGCAGCATGATTTATATTCCTTTGGGTATATACCCAGTAATGGGATGGCTGGGTCAAATGGTATTTCTAGTTCTAGATCCCTGAGGAATCGCCACACTGACTTCCACAATGGTTGAACTAGTTTACAGTCCCACCAACAGTGTAAAAGTGTTCCTATTTCTCCACATCCTCTCCAGCACCTGTTGTTTCCTGACTTTTTAATGATTGCCATTCTAACTGGTGTGAGATGATATCTCACTGTGGTTTTGATTTGCATTTCTCTGATGGCCAGTGATGGTGAGCATTTTTTCATGTGTTTTTGGCTGCATAAATGTCTTCTTTTGAGAAGTGTCTGTTCATGTCCTTCGCCCACTTTTTGATGGGGTTGTTTGTTTTTTTCTTGTAAATTTGTTTGAGTTCATTGTAGATTCTTGATATTAGCCCTTTGTCAGATGAGTAGGTTGCGAAAATTTTCTCCCATTTTGTGGGTTGCCTGTTCATGCTGATGGTAGTTTCTTTTGCTGTGCAGAAGCTCTTGAGTTTAATGAGATCCCATTTGTCAATTTTGTCTTTTGTTGCCATTGCTTTTGGTGTTTTAGACATGAAGTCCTTGCCCATGCCTATGTCCTGAATGGTAATGCCTAGGTTTTCTTCTAGGGTTTTTATGGTTTTAGGTCTAACGTTTAAGTCTTTAATCCATCTTGAATTGATTTTTGTATAAGGTGTAAGGAAGGGATCCAGTTTCAGCTTTCTACATATGACTAGCCAGTTTTCCCAGCACCATTTATTAAATAGGGAATCCTTTCCCATTGCTTGTTTTTCTCAGGTTTGTCAAAGATCAGATAGTTGTAGATATGTGGCATTATTTTTGAGGGCTCTGTTCTGTACCATTGATCTATAGCTCTGTTTTGGTACCAGTACCATGCTGTTTTGGTTACTGTAGCCTTGTAGTATAGTTTGAAGTCAGGTAGTGTGATGCCTCCAACTTTGTTCTTTTGGCTTAGGATTGACTTGGTGATGTGGGCTCTTTTTTGGTTCCATATGAACTTTAAAGTAGTTTGTTCCATGTACAAAAATCACAAGCATTCTTATACACCAATAACAGACAAACAGAGAGCCAAATCATGAGTGAACTCCCATTCACAATTGCTTCAAAGAGAATAAAATACCTTGGAATCCACCTTACAAGGGACGTGAAGGACCTCTTCAAAGAGAACTACAAACCACTGCTCAATGAAATAAAAGAAGATAGAAACAAATGGAAGAACATTCCATGCTCATGGGTAGGAAGAATCAATATCGTGAAAATGGCCATATAACTTAATTGTATCACAGTTAGTATAAAAAACTCTCACTGAAGACGGTAGGGACAAAAGTGCTGGCCTACATAACTTTGAAAATAAGTGGAGTCTGTAAAACTAAAGGTCAAAGAAACTACACATAAGTACTGCAGTATAGTTAATAAAGTTGTTTCTCATAAAGTTATTGGTTAACGATTCTGATGTTTTTACACATGTATACCAAAATTAAACAATTAATAAATGGATGGCAGATCATGGCAGGCAGTTTCTCACTGTTGGAGCAGGAGTTTGCAGATAAGCAAGGGGGAGATGGAATGATCCATGTACTAATGGATCAGAGTCGGAGATGTCAGTATGAACTTAAGTTTAGCTTAATATGGATATATATAAACACCAATTATTTCTACATAAAGAAATATTTCTGTATAAGTACATAAACACAGGTTACTAAGGGACTAGAAGCAAAGACACACAAGAGCAATGAGCATACCCAGATCTTGGTTTCTGATGCCACTATCTGAAAAAAGAAACTAGGACTCCTTAGAGAAATGGCTGATTCTACGACTGGGGCAGGAAATATACAAGATGAACCTGAAATCCCTTGTAGAACCAGAAAGTGAGGAAGGGCTCATTAAAAAGTGGGGGGAGTGGGGAGAGACAAGAGATGAACCTCTCATGCAGAATAGTTCTAAAGAATTTGTATGAATACTCAAGGAAGTGGAACATAACTCTCCACTCCTTACACTTGGAAAGAGGGAGGGAAAGAATAACTTTACAATGAAAAAGACTTTCAAACACTGTCTCCTCTGGGTGACGAAGGACAACATAGAAAGGGACAAGTTATGTTGATAGTATATACTCCTGATGTGACATGATGAAAATGGCACATTAACTTTGCCTCTGAGGTCTTTCTAATCAAAAATCCCATAACTCCAGTCTAATCAAGAGAAAATTATCAGACACATCTTCACAAAGAGACATGCTGCAAAATACCTGACCAGTATTCTTTAAATCATCAAGGTCATCAAAAGCAAGGAAAGTCTGAGAAACTGTCACAGCCAAGAGGAACCTAAGGAGACCCAACATCTAAATAAAATAAATAAATCCCCGTCCAGGATGGGGTCCTGGGACAGAAAAATACATGAGGCACGACTAAAGGAACCTGAATAAGATATGAACTTTAATTAATAATAATGTGACAATTGGTTCATTAATTGTAACAAATATACCATGGTATTGTAGGATAGGAGAAACTGAGTGCAAGACACATGGGAACTCCATGTGCTAGCTCCACAATTTTTCTATAAATTTAAAATTGTTCTAAAAATAAAGCTTGTTTAAGAAAATAAAAACAGGGGGATGGCAGCTAGATGCTAGGCTACAGACTATCAATGCATAAGATTTTAATCCCTAAATCATTAGTCCCTGCATCGTTAGGACTTAACCTGCATCAGTTTCCAGGGCGAAGGAAACTCGATGAAAGGAAACTTCTTACATTCATATGCCTTGTCACACTGTGAGTCACACTCACCAAATGGTCTCTCCAATTTACTGATTATATTAATACTCCTAAATTACTCATCTATACCTTCACCCACTTAAAATAATTGGGTTTTTTATTAAATACAGTATGTATGTTATTTTCTTGGGCTGAAACAACTCAATTAAATTACCACTAACTCAAAAGGAAATCAGAAATATAAAAAGTTTCATTCTCGGAATACTGTCTCTGGGAGAAAAAGGCGGGTTTTCGGTTTTTGCTTTATTTTAGTTTGTTTTTTGGTACTCTTCAATGTAACTATAAGAATGGAAGTCATGGGAGAATAAAGGGAAAACAAGAAGGCCTGGTTACTGTTGTGGAAGAAAGACTTTCTTAGGAGAAAGGTTGAGGAATTTACTAGAGAGCAATGTCAGGAAAAATGAGAATCTGGAGGCCGGGCTAGGCACACATCAAAGGAATCTGCATCTAATTACTCAGAAAGAAGAAACTGAAAAAGAGAGGTTTTTGTTTCTAGATTGGAAAGGGTGACTACTAACATCCAAAAAAGTAAACAAATAACAGAAAACTAACAGAAGAGACCCCTCCCCAGGAACTAGTTATATAAAGTGGGCACATATTTGAGAAGAGAAAACCAGGAAAATTAGCCGAAATAGTATTACGTGATTTTCAGATTCACATATATGTTGTAGGTAAAGATGCAGGTATTTCCAGTGTGAGAGAGAAACATAATCAAGATATTTGAAGAGTCAGCTCTCATAGAAAAGAAACAATGAAAATGAGATCTACTAAGGCTAGCAAGGGGCAGGAGTAATATATGAGGTCAAGGTTTAGGTCAGATGCTGTTCTGATAGAATAATTCCTAAGTGGCATTACCCACAGTGGGGAAAAGTTGGACAAAATATGTTTGAATAAAGCCTCTTTTATTAGAACTAGAATTTATCAACTTCCTATCTCTCACTGTGGAGAACTCCATAAACATATTTAAAGAAAGTATTTAAAAAAAACCACCTGAGAACGTGAAAGCAAATGGAATATTAAAGGAATTTGAAGGCATTATATTCCAACAAATAGTTACCCATAAGATGGTAGAAAAGGAAATAGATCACATTTAGAAATAGTTTGAGTTTATATATCACCTGACCATGCCTAAAATGAGTAGGCGAGTACAGCATGGAGACCATAATTTAAAATATTGTATTGAATACTTGAAATTGCCAAAAGGACAGATCTTGAGTGTTCTCACCACACATATACAAAAAAAAGGTCACTATGTGAAGCGATGGCTATGTTAACTAGCTAGATTATGGTGAGCATTTCACAATGTATACATAAATCAAAATAGGAAGTTGCACACCCTAAATATATACAATTTCTATTTATCACTTATACCCTAATAAAGCTGAAAATATTAAAATATTTTAAAAAATACATATAAAGTTGATTTTATTTAAGTACAAAAATAAAATGAAATGAGTGGGCATTCGTGAGGGGGCTTTAAACTGTAGAGGAATATCTCACCAGCAGGAGACAGGTTGGGGAGATGTCTTCAACCTAAATTTTACTCTCAAACTGGAACATTCAAAAGCAGAGGAAGACAGAGTTTTGAGGAGCCAATGGCAGAGATGTTGGCCTTGCTAGGCCCTTTGGGGTTATAGGATTCAGAAGCAGCAACAGAGTATACATTGGTTTTAGAGTGAGGGGGTTTATCACAAGCTTGAAATGTTTCTGTGTGGGGGAGAAGTTTATGTTGGGGTCAGACTGTCTCTGGGTGGAGGGGAGATTATCTCGGGTCTGGCATGCCTCTGGTAGGGGAGAGGTTTGGAATTTTTTTGGTCAGAGATATTATTTGTGGTTTATGGTCATGCTGACCTTAGCCAGAAGGCTGATGACCTTTGGATTTAGGCAGTTTTTGATCAAGGTGAACTTAAAATGACAGTGCTTGTCCAAGATGGCAATACTCCTGCTCTGTCACCAGCGATAACAGGTTTTTTAAAAATATTGCATTACAAACACATTTAAAGGAAATTTTACTATTAGGAAATATATTCACTTACAGGCAAACAGGATTTCTCTTCTTGCCTGAGAATACATGCTCCAGCTATCAATACCATTTAGTGTGGACACCCCTCATCAACACTAAGTTTTACCAAGCACATGAGGAAACATGCATCACTTACAGGACTTACTCAAAAACAAATCCACCTCCAGCCCCAGAAAGCAGACATAAAAAGAGACACAATTTTTTTCTTATTAAAATTATATTCTCAGGGATACTAAATTTAGAAAAACAAGCTATCACTGTAGAAGGAAAATAATTTTAATAAATTGAGAACATTGTTTTAAAGCACATGGTCTATGATTCACATTACATGACTCTGTGCAAACAACCCCAGGTACCAGCCCGGAGCCTGGTAGACCTGCTGGGTGGTTAGATCCAGAAGAACAATAACAATCACTACAGCTCAGCTCTCAGGAAGCCACATCCCTAGGAAAAGGGGAAAGTGCTATGTCAAGGGAACACCCCATGGGCAAAAGAATCTGAACAACAGCCTTGAGCCCTAGACTTTCCCTTTGACATAGTCTACCCAAATGAGAAGGAACTAGAAAAACAATTCTGGTAATATGACAAAACAAAGTTCTTTAACACCCCCAAATAATCACACTAGTTCACCAGCAATGGATCCAAACAAAAAAGAAATCCGTGATTTACCTGAAAAAGAATTCAAAAGGTCAGCTATTAACCTAATCAAGAAGGCATCATAGAAAGGTGAAGTTCAATTTAAGGAAATCAAAAAATGATACAAGAAATGAGAAGAGACATCTTCAGTGAAATATATAGCATAAATAAAAAAACAATCAAAACTTCAAGAAATAGTGGATGCACTTTGAGAAATGCAAAATACTCTGGAAAGTCTCAGCAATAGAATTGAACAGGCAGAAGAAAAAACCTCAACCTCAAAGATAAAGTTTTTAAATTAACCCAATCCAACAAAGACAAAGAAAAAATGAACAAAGACTCCAAAAAGATTTGGATTACATTAAATGACCAAACCTAAGAGTAACTGGTGTTCCTGAGGAGGAAGAGAAATCTAAAAGTTTGGAAAACGTATTTGGGGGAATAAATGAGGAAAACTCCACTGGCCTTGCTAGAGACCTAGATATCCAAATACAAGAAGCTCAAAGAATACTTGGGAAATTCATCATAAAAAGATCATTGCCTAGGCACATTGTCATCAGGTTATCTAAAGTTAACACAAAGGAAAGAATCTTAAGAGCCACAAGGGAAAAGCATCAGGTAACCTATAAAGGAAAACCTCAAGGGAAAAGCATCAGGTAACCTGTAAAGGAAAACCTATCAGATTAACAGCAGGTTTCTCAGCAGAAACCCTACATACTAGAAGGGCTTAGGGCCCTATCTTCAACCTCCTTAAACAAAACAATTATCAGCAAATAATTTTGTACCCAGCAAAACTAACCTTCATAAATGAAGGAAAGATACAAAGGGAAATCTATCAGATTAACAGCAGATTTCTCAGCAGAAACCCTGCAAGCTAGAAGGGATTAGGTCTCTATCTTCAGCCCCCTAAAACAAAACAATATCAGCCAAGAATTTTGTAGCCAGCCAAACTAACCTTCATAAATGAAGGAAAGATACAGTCTTTTTCAGACAAACAAATGCCGAGTGAGTCACCACTACAAAGCCAGCACTACAAGAACTGATAAAAGAAGCTCTAAATCTTGAAATGAATCCTGAACACATCAAAACAGAACCTCTTTAAAGCATAAATTTCACAGGACCTATAAAACAAAAATACAACTAAAAAAAATTAGCATGATAAATTAAACAGTTCCTCACATCTCAAAACTAATATTGAATGTAAATGGTCTAAATGTTCCACTTAAAAGATGCAGAATGGATAGGAATTCACCAATCAATTATCTGCTGCCTTCAAGAGACACATCTAACACATAAGGACTCACATAAACTTAAGGTAAAGAGGTGGAAGAAGACATTCCATGCAAATGGATGCCAAAAGCAAGCAGTAGTAGCTATTCTTTTATCAGACAAAACAAACTTTAAAGCAACAGCAGTTTAAAAAGACAAAGAGGGATAAAAGGCCTTGCCCAACAGGAAAATATGGCAATCCTGAATATGTATGCACCTAACTCTGGAGCTCCCAAATTTATAAAACAAGTACTATTAGACCTAAGAAATGGGATAGACAGCAACACAATAATAGTGGGGGACTTCAATACTGCCCTGAGGGCACTAGACAAGTCATCAAAACAGAAAGTCTCAATGGATTTAAAAGAAAGTCACAGAAAGAAACAATGGATTTAAACTATACCCTGGAATAAATAGACTTAACAGATATTTACAGAACATTCTACCCAACAACCTCAGAGTATACGTTCTATTCAACAGTGCATGGAACTTTCTCCAAGATAAACCATATGATAGGCCACAAAACAAGTCTCAATAAATTTAAGAAAATTGAAATTATATCAAATACTCTGTCAGACCAGAGTGGAATAAAACTGGAAATCAACTCCAAAGGGAACCTTCAAAACCACGCAATTATGTGGAAATTAAATAACCTGCTCCAGAATGATCATTGGGTCAACAATGAAATCAAGATGTAAGTTAAAAATTCTTCAAAATGAATGACAGTAGTGACACAACCTATCGAAACCTCTGGGATACAGCAAAGGTGTTGCTAAGAGGAAAGTTCATAGCCCTGAATGCCTACATCAAAAAGTCTGGAAAACTTTCTAAGTCTTTCTAAACAATCTAAGGTCACACCACAAGGAACTAGAGAAACAAGAACAAACCAAATCCAAACCCAGCAGAAGAAAGGAAATAACCAAGATCAGAGCAGAACTATATCAAATTGAAACCAAAAAAAAAAAGATAAAAGAAACAAAAAGCTGGTTCTTTGAAAAGATAAATAAAATTGATAGACCATTCACAAGATTAACCAAGACAAGAAGAGAGAAAATCCAAATAACCTCACTAAGAAACAAAACAAGAGATATTACAACTGACACCACAGAAATACAAAAGATCATTTAGGGCTACTATAACACCTTTATGCACATAAACTAGGAAACTTAGAGGAGATGAATAAATTCCTGGAAACATACAACCCTCCTAGCTTAAATCAGGAAGAATTAGATACCCTGAACAGACCAATAACAAGAAGCAAGATTGAAATGGTAGTTTCAAAATTACCGACAACAAAAAAAGTCCAGGACCAGACAGATTCACAGCAGAATTCTACCAGACATTCAAAGAAGAATTGGTACCAATTCTATTGATATTATTCTACAAGATAAAGAAAGAGGTAATTTTCCCTAAATTATTCTCTGAAGCCAGTATCATCCTAATACTAGGAAAGGACATAACCAAAAATGAAAACATAGATGCTAAAATCCTTAACAAAATACTAGCTAACTAAATCCAACAACATATCAAAAAGATAACCCACCATGATCAAGTGGTTTCATACCAGGGATGCAGGGATGGTTTAACTTACACAAGTCAATATGTAATACACCACACAAACAGAATTAAAAACAAAATCGAAAGATCATCTTGATAGATACAGAAAAGGCATTTGACAAAATCATTTTATGAATAAAACTCAGAAAAATCAGCATACAAGGATCGTACCTCAATGTAGTAAAAGCCATCTATGACAAACCCACAACCAAGTTAATACTGAATGAGGAAAAATTGAAAGCATTCTCTCTGAGAACTGGAACAAGACAAGGATACCCACTTTCACCACTTTTATTCAATATAGTACTGGAAGTTTTAGCCAGAGCAATTAGACAAGAGAAAGAAATAAAGGGCATCCAGATTGGTAAAGAACAACACAAACTGTCACTGTTTGCTGATGATATGATTGTATACCTAGAAAACCCTAAAGACTCCTCCAAAAAGCTCCTAGATCTCATAAATGAATTCAGCAAAGTTTCAGGATACAAAATTAATGTGTGCAAACCAGTAGCCTTCCTATACCCCAACAGCGACCAAACTGAGAATCAAATCAAGAACTCAACTCCTTTTACAATAGCTGCAGATGTATATAGGAATATACCTAATCAAGGAGATAAAAGACCTCTACAAGGAAAACTACAAAACACCGCTGAAAGAAATCATAGATGACAGAAACAAACAGAAACATATCCTATGCTCATGGATGGGTAGAGTCAATATTGTGAAAATGATCATACTACCAAAAGCAATCTACAAATTCAATGCAATTCCCATCATAATACCACCATCATTCTTCACAGAACTAGAAAAAAATCCTAAATTTCATATGGAACCAAAAAAAGCCTGCATAGCCAAAACAAGACTAAACAAAAAGAACAAATCTGGAGGCATCACACTATCTGATTTCAAATTATACTATAAGGCCATAGTCACCAAAACAGCATGGTACTGGTATAAAAATAGACACATAGACCAATGGAACAGAATGGAGAACTCAGAAATAAACCAAAATACTTACAGCCAAATGATCTTCAACAAAGCAAGCAAAAACATAAAGTGGGGAAAGGACACCGTATTCAACAAATTGTGCTGGGATAATTGGCAAGCCACATGTGGAATAATGAAACTGGATCCTCATCTCTCACCTTATAAAAATATCAACACAAGATGGATAAGGACTTAAATCTAAGACCTGAAATTATAAAAATTCTAGAAGATAACCTTGGAAAAACCCTTCTAAACATTGGCTTAGGCAAGAATTTCGTGGCCAAGAACCTAAAAGAAAATGCAATAAAAACAAAGATAAATAGCTGGGACTTAATTAAACTAAAGAGTTTTGCATGAAAAAGGAACAGTCAACAGAATAAACAGACAACCCATAGACCATGAGAAAATCTTCACAATCTATACATCTGACAAAGGACTAATATCCAGAATCTAAAATGAACTCAAACAAACTAGCAAGAAAAAAATAAACAATCCCATAAAAAGTGGGCAAAGGACATGAATAGACAATTCCCAATAGAAGATATACAAATGGCCAACAAACATATGAAAAAATGCTCAATATCACTAATGATCAGGGAAATGCAAATCAAAATCACAACACAATACCATCTTACTCCCGCAGGAATGGCCATAATCAAAAAATCAAAAACAATAGATGTTTGTGTGGATCCAGTGAAAACGGAACACTTCTATACTGCTGGTGGGAATGTAAACTAGTACAACCACTATGGAAAACAATGTGGAGATTCCTTAAAGAACTAAAAGTAAACTACCATTTGATCCAGCAATCCCACTATTGTGTATCTACCCAGAGGAAAAGAAATCGTTATACAAAAAAGATACTTGCACACGTATGTTTATAACACCACAGTTTGCAGTTACAAAAATGTGGAACCAACACAAATGCCCATCAACCAACAAGTGGATAAAGAAACTGTGATATATATATGTGTGTGTATATATATATCACATATACATATATATACGTGTGTATATATATATCACACATAGATATACGTGTGTGTATATATATCACATATATATGTTTATATATACGTGTGTGTGTGTATATGATGGAATACTACTCAGCCATAAAAAGGAATGAATTAATGACATCCGCAGCAACCTGAGTAGGATTGGAGACTATTATTCTAAGTGAAGTAACTCAGGAATGGAAAACCAAACATTGGATGTTCTCACTCATAACTGGGACCTAAGCTATGAGGATACAAAGGCATAAAAATGACACAATGGACTTTGGGGACTCAGGAGGAAAGGGTAGGAAGGGGGTGAGGGATAAAAGACTACAAATTGGGTTCATCGTATACTGCTCAGGTGATGGATGTATTCAAAATCTCACAAATCAGCACTGAAGAACTTACTCATGTAACCAAACACCACCTGTCCCCCCAAAACATATGGAAATAAAAAATATAAAATATAAATAAAATAGAGTACATGGTCTAAATGGCAGAATGAACTAGTAAAAATTGAATTAGAGGTATAGATAATGTTAAAATATTTTCTCAGAATACAACACAAAAGAACAAAGAGAAAAGTGTAAAAGAAAATTTTAGAGAGACAGAGAATAAATTCAAAATTTTTGATAAGTATCTAATATGTTAGATACTTATTCTAACATATGGGATACAAAATAAGAAATTTATGGGACCTAATATGGGATACAAAAGAAGATATATGACTTAATATGGGATACAAAATAAGAAAATATAAAGATTGTAAGCAATAAATCATCAATAAAATAATAGAAGAAAAATTTTCAAACGTGAAAGTGACTTAAGAGAGAAAATAATGTTAAAAACACTGCTAAAAGATTGTGGAGAGATTTCTGAATAGAAATATAAAGAGAAAATTTTCAAAGTCTTTAAAATGTAAAATAGGAAGAAAAAAATAAAAATTGCCAACGAAAACATGAACATCATACTGACCTTGACTTCTTTTTTTTCAAATTCCTAAAGGATAACTTCTAAAATAAGATTTCTACCATTTAATTGTGAAGTCAAATAAAGACACTTTACACTGGCAATGATTCTTGAAAGAATTTCTCCACTACAGCAAACACAAAAGGACCAAGAAAATAGTAGTAAGGAAGGAAGGCAATATAGATAATAATTGTCAACAATTACTAATAAAATAGCTCTAAAACTTAAAGAAATCAGAAATACTTCCTAAGACTGTGAAAATAATTTTTTTAACCTAGAAATAAACTTCTAGCTTAATCAAACATGAGTGGGAAGTGACATGGTGGAGAAAAAGAGAAGAGACAGCAGGCAAAGAGGATTTGTAGTATATCTATATGGAAACTTGATAGATACTGACTAGTTATCAATATTAATAGAAAAATATAAAATCCTAGACAAGTGGTTCATAAAAATTAACGTTGTTTCTATCTCTTGCCATAAGCAAATAAATTCAGTAGTTAAACATAAATGAATTAAATATTCATTTCAACCAAAATTGAATAATAACAACAGAAGAAACCTAAGGGAAATGAAGCAGGAAATCTATTACCCAGGAATAGAAAAGTTTATTCAGTTATATAATTAATAAGTATTTAAAATACATTTGGTTAAATTGTGTGCAAAGACATAATAATGCAGTTACGTATGCTCAGATATATATCATGTGTTATGTTAGGAAAAACAAAATGTCCTCAACAAGACTGCCTCCTGCTGAAGTTCTTAAATACTGTACATTGCCTCTTGGTAGGCACAAAAAAAGATGTTAGTTCAAAATTCTGCACCTATTCTTGATATAAACCCCTAAAAAATCAATTAATTAATGGTAATTCTTTAACATGACAAAGGAGATAAGTCAACAAATTTCTAGTGTTTCAAATGAAAAATCTAAAAGCCTGGATTGTCACAAATGAGTAAAGGTTTAAAGCTAGATTGCTTGGGAGCCTTAACAAGCTAATATTGTGCCCCGCTACAAATTGTTGTCTACTTTCCCTTGACCTTCATCCTTGGCAGGAAGCTCATGTAATTCCTCTTCTAGTGCTCTTTATAGTTCCTGTAGTGATAGAGTTTCTGATATTTATTCTGTTATGGTACATTGACAACTTCTATTCCTTCCCATTATTTTAACATGTTGGGAAAAGTGCCTGAGTTAAATGATACTTTTACAATGGACGTAAAAACATCAGTATTAAAAAAGAAACCTGCACATTGAGGTTGCTGACTTCAGGTAGAAAAAGAAAATTCGGATTTCATCTAGCTCTTTGTCTAACTTGAAATGTTATAAAATGATGAGAATCTGCCTAGGCGAATCTCTACAATGGCACAGAGCCTGTTCATGAGCATCTCTGGAAAAGATTGACAACCCTCATGTTCCTCAAGGGACTGAGGAACATTTCTTCAGAGTCTGATTATGTTCAGTTCCAATGGTCTAGTCACTGTACTTTGGTTAGTTAATGCTAAGGTTGATTTTATTTCCAACATTAATCAATAATGTTGATTTTATTTTCTAACGTACTGGCTCACACTTCTACTGTAACTCATATTGAACTAGCAATGAACTGAAACAGATTTTGCTTAAACTATTACTAGTGTAATTTTTAAATCTAATACAAAATTTCAAACATGGTTGATTATAGTTTTGAACTGAGAGGTTTCAAATCCTGATTTTGATATCTACCAAATTTAATAGAACTTTCAGCTTTATGTCCTCAAATTGATAAATTCATTCTCTATTTTCAAAATCAGTTATGTGTCTAATTTAATTTTGGCAAGTCTTAATGAAATTATCATAAACCTTAGTGATTATTTTTTTTGCTAAGGTACCAAATCATTTATTTAATAAATAACTCTAAAATATTATATGAATCACAGCAACTTATTTATTTAAACATTTATGCTTTATGCTTTCACTTATCACCTAGTATATATCAAGAATTGTACATGCTGCTAACAGACAAAATTGATGTGTCTTCTGTGTTCAATGACTCAGTCTATTGGTGGAAAAAATGACCCACATTCACAGTGTGATGTATTCTATAGTAGATACTTGTATGTAGTGTCATTAAATAGTTATCAAAAATTTATCTATGTTAATTTTAGGCTTTTTATAAATCTGAAGTGTCAACTGTGTGTATTTCTTCCTCTTACAAAAGATTTCATATTACAGAAAATGTAACATATTTGTATTTGATCTCCTGAATTTGATAATTATGTTAGACTTATATAACAGAATATTCTTGTTCTTAGGAAATACTGAGATGTTAAAAGCTAAAGACATGATATATGCAGCTCACACTCAAATTGATTAGAAAGATAGTGTATGTATGAGAGAGATAGGAAAAGAGAGAAAGAGAAATTTAAAAAGCAAATGTGCCAAATTATTAAAAATTTGAGTGAAGTATAAAAATTGAGAGTTCTTTGACTATTATTGCAACTTTTCTGCAAGTTTAAAATTATTTCAAGATTTAAAATTTAAAATTCCTAATGCCTGAGCAACACCCCATTCCAATTATATCAGAACCTCTGGGGATAAATCCAGGCATAAGAATTTTTTTATACTTCCAAGGTAATTCTAACGTGAGGTTCAGTTTAAAAAGCACAATACTAAAAATACCCAGAAGCATCAAGAATAGTTAACTCTCCCCTGTGATATCACAGCTCTATGTTACTATTTTACCTCCAAATACTATTGTCCTGTGACAGAAAAAGGGGCTACCAAACAGTCAGAATATCCATTTTATTGCAACGAATCCTCCAGATTTAGAAAGTTCAAATTTACGGAATTTGACAAAATAGCCCCTACTTGTTTCATAAAATGTGTGCTGCTCTCTTATTGAGAGAAGTTCAACACTGTTTCTTGCAGAAGAAATATGTCAAAATTTGTGTTTTGCAATGAGCACTTTTTCCCACCAGGATCATTCTGGTTCCAAATCAAAAAAGTCCAACTAAAATTAGTTTTTAAGTGAAAAAGAAAAATTGATAATGCAAATAACTTGGACTTCAAACATGACAAGATCCAATGGCTCCAACATGTTATCAAAAAGCTTTGATCAGTCTCTCAACTCTCTCCATCCAGCTGCCACGTGACTGCCGGCAACCCCGTATTTCATTGCCTCATCTTAGCAGTTTATTCATACAGCAAACACTTGGTGACACTGACTAGACCTGCTTTAATCACATGGCATTCCTCAACCATCGCTATGGTAAAAAGCTGGCTGCTGTGATGGGCACACATTGAATCACATGCCAACCCCATGGCCTGAGGTTTGGGCAACTATGATCAGAAGTTCTAATGAGACCACAAGGACTGAAGTAGTTTCCCCAAGAAAGGGAGGCTGGGCAGGCTGGCCAATAATCCAACACCTCTCCTATGGCTTCAGCACTGATCATCATCCCCTACACTCTTTTCTTTTCCTCTTTTTATGTTACTTTGTTCAATTATGTTTACGGCAGGGGTTCTAAAAGCTTGTGCTTATGCTCTCATCTCTCCTGGAACTTCCTTGCCTCAAATATTTCTGACTGTCTGATCACATCTACAAGTTCCCCATAACACAAGATGCGACTGATCTAAGAACATGAATATATTTGAAGTTTTATGGGTTTTCCTACTTCTTTATTATACACCTTGGATTTTAAGGTTGTTTTTCTCTACACACCACAAATGATCTCCTCTTGATGGAGAATATTAGTAGTGGAATGAACTGGGAAGATCCATATCCCTTCATTTATTAAAAGAAATTTTAAAAATATCTTTCTGGGTTATCAGAGATAACAACCCCCACAACAAATTACCTCCTGCATATCAGATACAATAATATCTGCCAGGCTGAGGAAATAGGTATGTTTTCCTTACCACAAGAGTTGTTTCTTTGAGTTTCTTGCAAGAGTTGTTGTTTTGGAAGGGGCAAGGTATTAACAGGAGGTGATTTGGTTATTTGTTGCTGTGCCACAAACTACCCCAAATTTAGCACCTTAAAATAATAAACACCTGTTACTTCACCATTTGTGTGGGTTAAGCATTCAGGAGCAGCTTAGCTGGGAGGCCCTGACTTATGGTCTCTCATGAAGTTGTGGTGGAGCTGTCAGCTAGAGCTGCAGTGACCTCAAGGCTCAGCAGGGGGAGATATATTCCCATGCTCATTCATAGTTGCTGGTGTCGGTCCTCAGTTCCTCGCTGTATAGACATAGGCTAAGTGTTCTCACAACGTGGTAAATGGGTTCACTCTCCCTAAGTTTCCCTATGACATGGCAACTGGATCCCCCACAGCAAGCTGTGATTCAAGAGAGGGCAAAAGAGTCCACCCACAATGGAAATCCCAGTCTTTTTGTGACCTAATATCAGAGATGACATCTCATCACTTCGGCCATATTCTATGCAGTTGAAGCAAGTGCAGCCCATCATTCAAAGCCCCAGTAATGAAGCTCCTCTGCTTGAGGGGAGGAATACCAAATAATTTGTAGTCATATCTTTAAAATCATTACAGGAGCACTGGCTCTCCGCATCAGAAATTATGCTATGTGTCTGATAAAAATTAATACTTGCCTTGGCAGCATTATTTGCATACTATATTTTTTTAAGTGGGGATTTAGCTACAGTGAACCTTGAAAGGGATACTGAATGCCATGTGGTACTCACATTCATGGAACTGGGCCTTATATCTCCATCTTTGGAATGCAGCTGCTACCTGGAAGATCTTTCTGTGCTAGCAGCTTAAGCTGGAGGAGCTCCAGTGCACAAATCATAACAAGAGCCTGAGTGTAGAACTAATATCTATGAGGAGAGATGGGTTTCCCCAAGGGGAAAGAGTGAAGAACACATGATGAAGGGAAATGTGGGTAAAGTCCATGACGTTGAGGAGAAAAAATGCAGTGTTCTTTTAGGACACCTCCTTTTCAAAGACCTAAGACTTCCCACTACATTAAAGTTATCATCTTTATACTTCCCATGTACATCACTGTCCTTTAGAAAGACTTTCTGATTTAAATAACTACATGTTCCCTCCCAATAATCTATTTATGTGATCTTTAACAGAGTGGGGACACAGTAGATATTCAGGGGAGAAGCAGTAAATATACCACATTATGCTGCAAGGACTCTGGTGTGAACAGAGCCCAAAATGGAAATATGATAGATTGTTGAAAGTGGAGAAAAGACATTAAAATGAGTGGAGAAGAAACCTGAAAGCGCCGCAGAGAATAAGACTAAAATTTCCAAAGGCCTCTCAGGGAACAGCAGGTGACATATATCAAGAAAGAAAAAAGAAAAAGAAAGCTTATGACAACCAGGTTACAAATATTTGATTGATAGACAAGGCGTGGGGGTCACCAATTCTACCTCGTACAACCAAAGATTGACTTGATCAAAAGAACCAAAAGAGTGTGATCAGAGTCAGCCTATTTTTCAACAAAGTCACAACAGAAATCTAGCATGGCTCTGTTAAGATGTTCTCAGCCCTCAGGAAAAGCAAGAAATAACCCAGCAAGAGCAAGAAAGAACCCAGCAGTTCAAATATCCTCTCATCATTTGAGCACCTTAAGTCTTAATTCTTACCACTATTGAGAAGAACCATGTTTCCAAATAACAGGGCCACACACCTGTTTATAGGAGAAAGGCTCCAATTTTAACACAGTTATCTCTAAGAAAAGGTAATAAGAGATGTAATTATCATCTCTGTACAATATCAATTAGGAATCTTGTCATTGAATTTGGGAGAAAATCCTATTCCAAATGCCTTCAGGCGAGCTTAAGAAACACTGCAGGTTTATATGAGGCTATACACTGGGATCTGGCTCAAATTCTCTGTATCTGATTGGGGACACAGCAAGATAGATTAGCATGGTAAGGGAACATTCTCCCCTGAGAAAAACTCTTCTGCCTCAATGTTATTGCCTGGCTGTCTTTGTGCTGGGCTTTTCCTGAGAACTCCAATAACAATTTCGCTTCTCAGTCTTTCCTCCTACAATCCCTAAAACTGTGAATCTTCCTCAGATTAGCTCTCTCCTCATGAAGCAACACAGGTATTCCAAGCTTCAGATATCTTTTCACCATTTGATTACCTTGTCTTAATTTTCTTATGTATTATTGCTAACTGTAGTCATCCTACACAGAACACTAAGACTTAATCCTCCTATCTGGCTAGTACCCTTTAACAAATCTCTCCCTATTCCTCCCTTCCCCCTTCCCTTCCCAGCCTCTAGGATTCTTGGTTCTACTTTTTACTTCTATGGGATCAACTTTTTTTAGCTTCCATATGTGAGTGAGAACATGCAGCGTTTAATTTTTATGTTCCTGGCTTATTTCACTTAACATAATGTCCTCCAGTTCCATCTGTGTTGCCACAAATGATAAGATTTCATTATTTTATGGCTGTATAATATTCCACTGTGTATGTATACCACAGTTTATCCATTCATTATTGATGAACACCTAGGTTGATTTCCTATCCTAGCTATTGTGAATAGTGCTGCAAGAAACATGAGAGTGCAGATGTCTCTTTAATATAATAATTACCTTTGCTTTGGATAAATTCCTAGTAGTGTGTTCTCTTTATCTTGAGCTTCTTATTTCACATCCTCACCCAATTCTGACAATCCTGGTATTTGAGCTCATTATGTAGACTCCTACTTGTGTTTCACTTTATAGTTCAGATGTGACAATTAGCTCCACATTTTTAGCTATAATGTGGACTGCTCTTATTGACCACAATCCTAATTTTTCTTCTGTCCAGGGTGTTCCAAGATGAAAAAAAAAAAAAAACAGAGGGAGACAAAAGTTAACTCTTGTCCAAGATCTGAGCTTAACTGTAAGTTTTAAAGAATACTTAGAAAGCACGGGTTCCCTGGCACAGATAAAAGTATCCTGGATTCAGGGGTAGAAAAAAAAAGATCTAAGAGGAATTCAACAGAGATAGATGCTTTATAGGTCTCTGAGAAGGGCCCTCTACAACCTGTCTCCCACCCCTAAAACCTACAGCAGATTTGAAGCACACAGGAGGGAGTAACAGAACCTCAAATAAATTTGGAAAAAGGAAAGTAAAAGACAATTGTGTCTGGCCTGGTGAAGCCTGAGGAGGCAGCAAGCCTGGTTAAAGAAAACTTTCTGTCCAGCAGGATAATCTACACAATAGATTAGAAATGACAGGATATGCTCAGTACTTTGGTTGTGGTGATGTTATCACAGGTGGATCCCTAGGGCCAAACTCATCAAGATATATATATACATATTAAATGTGTCCAACTTTTATACACCAATGATACCTCAATAAAGCTTTCAAAAGAATAAAAGAAAGAACTAACTGCATAAAGATGCTTAGACAAATGGTCACTGTCTACCCTGGCATGGTACAGTCAAGGGCAAAATACTTTCTCAGGTTACCAGAATAGGTATGAATATGGTCTGATGGCTGAGCCAGAGAGACGGGTAGTCCTTTGGACAGAGGGACACAGTAGTGGATGTCAGAGGGGACTAAGAACTAGAGCCAAGTAGAAGCTCAAAAGCTTCGGCCAGTGCCAGTGTCAGAGCAACCAGTGGAGACCTGCATGGATAAAGGTGCAGCAGCAGATGACTAACAACCAGGCCCACCCCAGCCCCACTAATGCTTGATAGAATTGTATGCTACCTCAGGAAGAAGGCAGGATGGACGTAGGAGTGGGAGGGCTCTGAAATTACTGGGTTTACCTTGAGTTGACTAGACTTTAACATAATACAGCAAGAAAAATTGACTAAGATCAGATAAAGAAAAGAAAGTGATATTTTTCCACACACTTGGACTCATGGTCTTTGGATTTCATATCCACTGAATAATCAAACAAATAATGGCAACAGGTAAGGTAGAGGTGGACAGGGGGCTGAGGAACCACAGAACAGTGAGATCTAGGAGGTATTGCAGGGCAGGCAGAAGAGTGGACACAGACTGGAAGGACAGATTTTAAACAATAAAATTAATGGAAAGATTTTCATATTGGATGAACGGAATATACAAAGTATTGAAGTTGAGACAAAGCACAGAGCCCTTGAAGAATAGAAAGATTTTTTTAATGTGGGTGGAACATGGAGTGAGATGACGGAGTGGTGAGAGATAGATTCAAGTATTAAACCAGAGTTTTGAATTCTAAAGCCTTTACAACCAACTTCCAGTTTCCAGGAAATACAGGGGATGGAGTGTGAAGTTAACTGACACACACACAAATAAACACCAAGCAAATCTAGAATGTGTGATAGTTCTGAGGACATGTCATCCACTTAATCAGTAAGTTCATTGCATGGGAAGAAAGGAGGGTGAATGTCCTTTGCCGAATATAAAACATAACAACTAAGTGTAGGGAAGGTTCCAGGTTTGGGGGAGACTAAAGTTGATGTAATTTCAATTGTTCTGTTTAAGAAAAATAATACAAAATTAGGAACAGAAATTTGCTAAGGCCCTTGCAGGGTCATGGAAAGGGCCTTTGCAAATGAAAGAATCCAAAAGTTAAGCTTCAATTGCTGTGTAGAAAATTCAAAACTGATCAAATGCAACATGTCAACCTTGTGTGGATCCTAATTTAAATAATTTGCATTCATTCTACAAAAGTGTAAAGACATTTCTGAGACAATCAGGAAAAAAGTATAAACTGAATTAAGCTGGAAAACAGAAATATTTAGTGGAAATTTAAGAGAAATCAAAAACCTTTCTGTATCTTATCATAAACTTGAGTTCTGCGCATGTCTGTATAATGGAAGGGACAAAGGATATTCCTGTCTATCCAGAGGGTTATTTTAGTAGTCCTAAAGCCTCTTCACTGGTAGGCTTGAAACTATAGGGGTTTGTTATAGGAAACTACATGTGCTAGAATATTAAAATAGAATGCAGTGTTCACTTAAAATTGTTTCCAGGGTTCAAAAAATAGGTTGAGTTTACTCATCAACCTTCTGAAAAATAACCGTATGATTATGAACTCATGGTCATGTTATATTTAATGCAGCTAGTAAAAAATGGTCTGCACAGATTCTTCTGCTAAAATTAGGAACACAGGTAACAGCAATCTGTGTTGTAAAGCAACTTGAATAAATTTTAAAAGAAAGAGATAAGCGAAGGAACCATTTACAGAAGCTCTTTAAAGCTATGTTAAGGAATTTCTCTTCAACCTAAGGATATTGGAATGCTATCAAAGAGTATGAAGCCAGTGTATTAGGCCATTTTCCATTTCTACAAAGGAATACCTGAGACTGGGTAAAGATGTTTATTTGATTCACAGTTCTGCAGGCTGTACAAGCATGGTACTAGCGTCTGCTCAGCTTCTGGGGAGGCCTCTGGAAGCTTTTATTCATGGCAGAAGGCTAAGGGCGAACAGGCGTGTCACATGGCAAAAGAGAGAGGAGGAGGTGCCAGGCTCTGTTTAACAATCAGATCTCATGTTAATAACTGAAGGAACTCATTCTTGCCTCGAGGACAGCATCAAGCCATTAATGAGGGATCCACCCTCATAACACAAACACCTCCCACCAGGCCCCACCTCCAACATTGGGGATCACATTTCAGAGTGAGATTTGCAGGGGACGCACATCTAAACCATATCAGCTGGGAAGTAACATGATGAACACTGCACATTAGAAATAGGACTCGTGTTGTTATTTAGACATGGTGCATTGAACACATGTATTTACTTCTGCTATTTCCCAATGTTCCAACAAAATTATAATACAGAAGTAAAAAGAAATACCCAGGGACAAGGAGAATGGAAGAGGAAATGTCAGCAAACAAGAAGTTAAACAAAACTGTAGAATTGGAATGACTCGATGAATATGTAGTGTGTAATCTGCACAAAAATTTGGTCATTTTTCTTCAACTAAAACCTGTGCATTTCTTATTATATGATCCTAGAAATTTTTAAATTGTTCTAAAGAAGGTTGTTTTCTCATTCTCTCTCTTTCCATTGTACTTCCTACCTATGCTGATACTTAGAAAGTGTTTAAGTGTATGGCTTTGTGAAAGTCACTCAATTATATTAAGCTTTTGTTCCTTTATCTGAAAAGTGAACATGATGCAAGAAATAATCAAAAGGCTAAATTAGGGATTAAAAGAGCTAATGAACATACAGCATATATCACCATAGTAGGCACACTGTAATGGTCAATAAATCTTGAGCTATAGAGCCATACATGTGTGAAAATTTAATATATAATTAAGATAGCATCAATCACTGAAGAAAACTTGGTTATTCAATATTTGGGGACTATTACCTACCTAGTTATTTTTAAAAACTAATTTCAGAGCTCTGCCACATAGTAATCACAATAGTTAATTTCAACTGGATGAAAGAGGAGACTGTGTTTTGTTGTTTTTTTTTTTTGTTGAGACAAGAGGCTCACTCTCTCACCCAGGTTGGAGTGCAGTGGCATGATCTCCCGAGTAGCTGGGATTACAGGCATGCACCACCACAGCCAACTCATTTTTGTATTTTTAGTAGAGACAGGGTTTCACCATGTTGGCCAGGCTGGTCTTGAACTCCTGTCCTCAAGTTGATCCACCTGCCTCAGCCTCCCAAAGTGCTGGGATTACAGGCGTGAGCCACCGCACCCGGCCAAATTTATCCTTTCATAGACAACTCTCTGACCAGTCTCCCACTTGGATTTCTAAAATTTTAGATTCATTCTTATTAGAATAATCCAAGTTTCTGCCACTTAAAAGGGCATCCACAAATCTTGCCAAAGATAATACGTCTCCCTAGAAAAATGCATGTAAGCACACATTAAGGAAGTACACACATGATCTACATTGAGAATTTGTAATTGCAACAACAAAAAATTAATCTATATGAGATATCTTTATATGAAAAGGAGGGGAAACAGGACACTAGAAACCTACGTAAATGTGTTATGATTCAAAAACAAACTTATTGGGCCGGGCACAGTGGCTCACACGTGTAATCCCTGTACTTTGGGAGGCCCAGGTGAGAGGAACACTTGAGCCCAGGAGTTCAAGACCAGCCTGAGAAACTTGGAAAAATCTCATCTCCACAAAAAATACAATAATTAGCTGGGCATGGTGGTGCACACCTGTGGTCCCAGCTACTTGGGAGGCTGAAGTGGGAGGATCACTTGAGCCAGGGAGGCAGAGGTTGCAGTGAGCCAATATCCTGCCACTGCACTCCAGCCTGGGTGACCGAGTGAGACCATGTCTAAAAAAAAAAAAAAAAAATTATTTACTCAAGAAAAAGTTTTTCTCTCACCTCACCTCCTAGGATCTCAGGAAAAGTTTTGCCTGAACAGTCCAATACAAGTGCCTATGTCTGTTCTATGGACCTCATTCCCTCTCACCTTCTAAATAAATAAATAGCGAGCAAGCAGTGGAACACAGCAACCAGGAACTTGTGCTCTGGATACTGCCTGCCCTCTATACCAGGTACTACCTTCACAACAACCTTGCCACGTGCCTTCGTCAGCTCATATGTAAAACTGAGATACTAGCAATCATACCTACCTAGGAAGATGGTACTGAAGATTCAATGCATATAGCAAATGCTTAATAAACACTTCCTATTATAAACAGTTGAGGCTATGGAAAGTTGACAAAATACATAAAAGGTAAAATAATTGTGGAATATACATTTATGAATAGTCAATATCCAATGAAATTATTAATATATAAATCACTATCATAATAGTGTAGCCTGAATTTTTAGGAATATCTATGCAATGTTTAATTTTCAGAGACAATTATGTTTAAATGCTAATTATATCATCAGAAAGCTTAATTAATTCAATGCACACAGCAATTTTTCCAATTCACATGAACTTCTCTCAGGCCACAGCGACCTAAAGCAACTTAGTCACCCACAGCACTAGTTTATCTACTCTATCAATGTTCATCTGTCCTGGTAAACCACTCTTTAGTGCTTCCAACAAACTAGTGCATGGTGAAGCTGAAGAAGATTCTGCTTTCTGTCCCGTACAGAGAGCTTCCCACTCATCAATAAAGAGATAAACATCTGGTTGTGAAGGAGCTGAGGTATGAAATTTAGATCTTCTTGCAAGTGCAATGGGAAAATCTTGGAGGTGAAACACAAAAGTGATACGATCTAATTTCTATCCTTAAAAGATCACTCTGACTATTGTGAGGAGACCTGATATGGGACGTAACGAGAATGTTACCAAGACAAGATGGAGGCTGTTAATGTCCTCCAGGAGAGAGAATCATGGCCTGAAGCAGAGCCCTGTAGTAAATATTATGCAAGTGGTCATATTGCAATGCATTATGAGGAGTGAAACCCACTGGATTTGCTAACAACCAGGGCTAGCAGAGAGAAAGGCAAATGTGAATCCAATGTTTGTGAATGACTGAATGAAATAGCTGTTGTTGACTGAGAAGAGATTGGGTAGTGTTCTGGGCTAACTATGCTCCCCCTACTCATATGTTGAAGCCGCCAGTTCCTCAGAGTATGACGGTATTTGGAGACAGGGCCTAAAAAGAGATGATTAAGTTAAATGAGAGTGTTACAGTAGAACAAAACCCAATCTTATGGTGAACTTATTGACTGCTCTATACCTAATTGACTCTGCTATGGCCACACTGATCTTCTTCTTCCTCTCCTTCTCATTCTTCTTCTCCATTTTTATTTTTGAAAGATATGCTTAGATTTGTCCTCTATTTATTTTTAAATTTTATATGTATAAATATATGTGGTGCAATGGTAATTTTGTTATGTGCATATATTGCATACTGAGTAATTCAGGGATTTAGGGTATCCATAACCAGAATAACATAGAGTGCATTTATTAATTAATGTCTCACTATTACCTCTCTCCCACCTCCTCACCCTTCCAAGTCTACATTGACTGTCATTCCACTCTCTACATCTATGTAAACGCATTCTTTTTTTTTTTTTAACACCACGTGTATGAGTGAGAACATGTTATATTTGATTTTCTGTGTCTGGCCTGTTTCACTTAACACATCATCTGTCATGCCCAGTTCCACTCATATTGCTGCAAAGTGAGTGATTTTATTTTTTTCTTTGGAGAGTAGTATTGCCTTGTGTATATGTACCACAATTTCTTTATCCACAAACCTATTGATGGATAGTTAGGCTGATGTCATATCTTTCCTATTGTGAACGTTGCTACCATAAACAGAAGTGCAGATATACTTTTCTTTTTTTTTTTTTTTTTTTTTTTCCTGAGACGGAGTCTCGCTCTGTCGCCCAGGCTGGAGTGCAGTGGCGGGATCTCGGCTCACTGCAAGCTCCGCCTCCCGGGTTCACGCCATTCTCCTGCCTCAGCCTTCCAAGTAGCTGGGACTACAGGCGCCCGCCACTACGCCCGGCTAATTTTTTTGTATTTTTAGTAGAGACGGGGTTTCACCGTTTTAGCCGGGATGGTCCAGATATACTTTTCATATACTGATCTCCTTTCCTTTGGATAGATATCTAGCAGTAAGATTGCTAGATTGAATGATAGTTCTAGTTTGAGTTTATTGAGAAATACTGTTTTTCATAGAGATTGTAATAATTTACATTTCATTCAGAGAGTATACGAGTTCTTCTTACTCCACATCTTCACCCACATCTGTTATTTTTTGTTTTTTTAATCATAGCCATTCTGACTGGGGTATGGTGATATCTCATTGTGGTTTTGATTTTTATTTCTCTGATGATTAGTGATATAGAGCATTTTTCACATACTGTTGGTCATTTCTATGTCTTCTTTGAAAAGATGTCTATTTCTGTCCTTCGTCTACTTCATAATAGAATATCTTCTTGTTGCTGTTGAGTTGTTTGGGTTTCTTGTATATTCTGGATATTATACCCTGTTGATACATAGTTTGCAGATATTTTCTCTCATTTTGTAGATGGTCTGTTGACTCTGTTGATGATTTTGTTTTCTGTGCCAAAACTTTTTAGTTTCAGTCCCATTTATCTATTTTTATTGTAGTTTTCTGTGCTTTTGAGGTTAGCCAACTGAATTGGACCAAATAGGACATCTAGGTAGACAGGTTCACCCACACTGCCCAACTTCACTCCCTACTAGTCCTGTGCTCAGTGGAGGTATTATTCGGAACTGCTAAGGACTTTCTGGTAGTCTAAAATTAGAAGCGAGGCATGGGGAAGCACAAGATGCCTGGTATGCTCTGTAGGAGCTTAACCAGATCAGTCCTGTTCCCCAACCCAGCTTCTGGTCTGCTGCTCCAGCAGACAGCCCTGTGCGTCCCGCTCCTCCCACCTCTCAGCTTTCAGGGTCAGGATTGGTGCAGGGAAGCACATGCTTTATAACATGTGATTATTCAGACATAGGGTATATAAGACACCATTTGTATTCTTGTACTGAGTCCTGCAAATGTTAAATTTGGGCTTTTGGATATTAATTGGGCCCTTTCAAAATGGTGATTATCCTTTAGTTCTGGGACATGTATTTTATTGTTTCATTGCTAATGTCTTTCTCAACATATTCTCAGATTTCTTGGTTTGAAATTCATGATAGTTGATATTTAAAAAAAAATTTGCATCTATGGAACATCTTTTTGCCTTTTTTCCTACTTTACATGAGAGTTTCTTAACTTTATATTTTATTGAATTTGTCAGCTATGTTTACAATTCCACATATTTCATTTGTTTTCTGGTCAATTTTTTAATTTAATTGCTTCCTATTCTATATGAGCATGGTGTCTATTTTTATCTCTCAGGATATATTAATTATCATCTCTTAAAGGTTTCCATTGCCTCTTGTCTCTGTTTTCTCTGCATTCCCTTTTTTTCCTGTTTCTCTGACTCTCATTTGATGGAGATAGTTTTTAATTGTCTAGTGTTCCTTTGATTCTGTTCATAATTAAGAGTAGACACTAAGACAATCAGAAAGCTATATGCAAATTGCAAGAGTTTTGAGGAATCACGTTCTTCACAGCTGGGGGATTGGATGCCCAGGAAGGTACTTTGTGAAGAGCTCCAGGTGCTGCCTCTGATGCTGGGCTGACTCTTCTGAATTATCCACCTGTCTCCTGACTTTCAAGCATCATACTCACTGCTGGCACTTTGGAGCTGGTCTGAGTAAGACTTAGGGTCTCATTTTATTAGAGAAAGCTGGACTTTGCAAGTAACTATCCAACTGTTAAGCAGCAGAATTAGAATGAGAATTCACAGTGTCTTATTACCAAGACCGCACAACACTCCAAGGAAGTAACTACTCAAACGCGCAAATGCAGAACAACCTCAAATTCAACATGTACCATTTTTGTTTTGTCACTTAAGCTATTCCATATACATGCTATAAGGTATAAGTACATGTAATATTATCTAATGTTCCAGAAATTCATACACACCCTTTACAAAAGTCTAGAATAAACAACATTACCATATCATGGATAACTGCCTCCATGTACCCCTGAAACAATGTTGAGAGGAGTAACATTACCTGTCCTGTCTGTAAGAGGAAGACATGGGTCTGTGAATGAAGACCATGTCCTAATGAAATAAAATTAATGTCACATTCTAATAAAATTGACATAGGGATAAAAATTACTCCTACTGAATAAGATGATTCAGAAGATTAAATGGCATTAGTAATGCATAATAGTTTTTTTATTATAATTAGTCATGGCTACAATAGGCTCATAGAATATGAAAACCACTAAACTATTTGTGAAATATATTTTTATGAAGACAACATGTAGTATTAAAATATATGGTCCAGTATCATAAAAGTGTAGCCACAATTGTTAGATAAATCTATGCAAAATTAATCCTCACAGAGAATTATTTTTAATTGCTAATTATATCAGGAGAACACTTAGTTGATTCAATGGACAGAAGGATTCTCCCAATTCACATGAACTCCTCTCACACCACAGGGACTCAATGCCATTCACATGATCTCAGCAGGAGTTAATCCATGTGGTCAAATTTCATTTTACCTGGTTATCCACCTTTTAGTGTTCCAGACAAACTAGCGTATGGTGAAGTTGAAGAAGGTTCTTCTTTATGTCCCATTTAAAGAACCTCCCACTATTCAAGTAAGGGAGAGCCATGTGGGTATGAAATAGCTCAGGTATGTTAGATCTTCTTACAAGTAAAACAAAAAAACCGTAGAAGATTTGAAGCACACAATTTATATGATCTCATTTCCATTTGTAAAAGATCACTCTGACTACTGTGGGGAGAATTGGTATGAGATGTAACAAGAATGTTACAAAGACCAGATGGAGGCTGTTGACATCCTCCGGGAGAGAGAATCACGGCACATACAAGAGCCATGTGCCAGAGAATATGCAAGTGATCATACTGCAATATATTTTGAGGTGGAATCCACTGAATTTTCTAATGGACCTGACCTAGGGAAGAAAAAGGCAAATGTGACTCCCATATATTTGAATAACTGAAGGAAACATCAGTCATTTACTGAAAAGGGATTGGGTGGTGTTATGGGCTGAATTCTGTTCCCTATATTCATATGTTGAAAGGCCAACCCTTTATTCCTTTGAATATGATTGCACTTAGAGAAAGAGCCTAAAAAGAGGTGATCAACTTAAAATGAGGGTGTTACAGTGGGACAAAATCCAATCAGAATGGAGTTCTTATAAGAATTGGAAATGTGCACAGACAGAGAGACTTGAGAAGTGCATATGCACAGAGGCAGCCCCATGTAAGGACACAGCAAGAAGGCAGATATCTAGATACCAAGCAGACAGGCCCCAGAAAAACTGAACCTGCTGACACCTTCATCATGAACTTGTGCATCCAGAACTGTGAAAAAATAATTTCTGTTGTTTAAGACACTCAGTTCATGATATTTTGTTTGGGCAGCTATAACAAAGAAATTCATAGGATAGCAGGTTTTAGGAAGTTGGAATTAAGATGCCTCCTTGGTGCATGGTAAATTTACGACCATTTTAGATGGAAGGTGGATGGCTGAGGTCTTTGACGCATGTACAGGTGCCTAAGCTCCTGCTACAGTCTTGCTCCTTGCTTTGACTCTATCCTATGTCACTGACAGTGTCTCTTTCAGCTCTTTGATCATCTCTGTTTTGGTTGTGTCTGGTGGGTTCATACCTGATATTTATTCTTCCTGATACACTAATCTCTTTCACTCATTGCTGACACTGGAGAAGGTCAGGAATAGGGCATGAGCTGAGTGATATTTGGAAGCATCACATGTTCTCTTCCTGGACTTAGCAGACAAGCAGAAGCCTGCTTCCAACCAGGACTACAGCTTCCTCCACCATACGCACATCTACCTGGCACTCCCTTCTGCTCCTTCTCTCTGACCTCCCTTTACTACCTGAAGGGCCACCATAAGCTACATAGGCAAGACTGTTCATGTTCAGTGTCTTTTTTGAAATAATGTTTGGTGAAACCAGAGATAATCATTTAACATCAGGGCATCTGGTCGGCCTAAGGAGTTACTCTGTGCCTCCCTTAAAGCATGTGAAGCCTAGTTAAAACCGTTTAACTTTCCACATAGCTAGAGAATGTTTCATCTATGGTATTATATTCCTCCTTCAACAAATGTCTCTATTTATGCCAGGAGAAATAAGAAAACAATTTGCCTAATCAGTAGGAAAACTCAAAGTTAACTATAGCAAACCTTATTGTATTAGGAAGCCTCCCTGCAATGCAATGGGACTTTAAAATGTTCAAGGAAAATGTATGTTATATTAAAAAATAACATGAATGGATTCCAATTTTCTTTTGCACCAAAATAAACTCAGACTGACATGCTCTAACATGTCTGAACAGGAGCTACTTGAGGCATCAAGAAAAATAAGAGCAGGTTCAAAAGATCCCCTATAAGAGCAACATGAATTCTTCTAAAATTAAAGAGAGTACAAACATCAAATTCATGGTGAAACTTGGGTAGAAGAAGGTGAAATCCACGATGCTTTCTGAAACACTGATGGGGATAGTGGCCCAAAACATTGGCAGTTTACAAGTAGGTAACTCATTTCAAGAAGGAATGAGATGACGTAGAACCTACAGCCCATAGAGACAGAGGATTCACATCAAATTGCATGGATAAAATTCATCTTGTTTATACTCTATTAGAAGACAACGAATGACTAACAGTACAAACAACAGCCAACACTACAAAATTCTCAATTGGTTTCCCTCACCTGATACTAATTGAATAATTAATGTTGAGTAAAGTTTTCCCTCAATGGATGCCAAAACTGTGGCAAAAAGATAAGCTACAGACAGGAGCAGAGCTTTCCATGAAGTTTTAAATAAGGGGGATGAAGATCTTGAAGCATTTCTTCAAGGAATTGTAATGGGAGATGCAATCTGGCTCTACAAGTAAAATCCGGTAAACAAATACAGTAAAAGCAATAGCTACCAAGAGGTGGAAAAGTCCAGTCAAAGCAAAAGTGGATAAGGAAAGTGCAAAGGTCATGGCAAGAGATTATTGGGAAGCTCAAGGCATTTTTCTCGTTGACTTTCTGGAGGGCAAACGATTGACAATAACGACTTATTCTGAGAATATTTTGAGAAAGCCAAAGCTTTAGTGGAGAAATGCCTGGGGGAGCTTCAGCAGAGTCCTTTACCACAACAGTGCTCCTGCTCATTTCTCTCATCAAACAGGGCTGTTGTGTGAGAGTTCTGATGGAAAATCATTAGGCATCCACATTACAATCTTCATTTGTTTCCTTTGGGTTCCTTTTTGTTTCATAATGTCATAATGTCTGTAAAGGGCATCCATTATTATTCAGTTAATAATGTAAAAAAGACACACCAATATCTGACATGCTGACAAAAATGTATGATGATTGGTCAATAAATATTCTCAATATTCTCCCCTTATGTTGCCCGTTAATGATTAGGATTGGGAAATGGTTGAAACCTGAGTATCAGGTGTTAGAATTAAAACAAACTTCCCAAATGAGACTTTAATTTTGACTCTCTTCCACATATAACAGGAGATAGAAGGATTAAACATCCCCCAAAGCTGTTCCAGGTCACTGGAGAGATTTAAATTTGGGTGTGTATTCAGCTGAGTCTTGAGCAGTGTCTGCACTACTTGAATTTAAAAGTACATGTGTCTTGCTTACTTGCATGAAGACACTTAGTCCATATCTCCTTTATTACTTCTTTTCCTCTACTCAGATCTCAATTCCGTTAAGGATTCAGGCTGGGCCTGAGATCTCACTGACCCAAGGGGGACCAAAGGTCCTATACACTCATCCCAAAATGTTGCAAGACATCAAGTAGGGTAGGGACTAAAATTGCTTATAGCTGCTCAAATCACCACATTACTTGTTTCTATGAGAGTGGGAGAAGGTATGCTTCGACACATAGGATGAAGCCACAGTGGCATGTGAGGGAAAGGAAAGGAAGAGACCTCAAGCCTGTGGCCTCCCTGGACACTGGGAGATGCACTTTAAAGAAAGTAGAATCTGGGCAAAAAGCGAAGGAGAAAAGGCCTTTTTGGTTGTTCTAGTCATTCTTTTTTTTTTTCCTTTTTAGAGACAGGGACCTGCTCTTTTGCTTAGGCTAGAGTTCAGTGGCACAAACGTGGGTCACAGCAGCCTCAATCTCCTGGGCTCAAGTAAACCTTCCATCTCACCTTCCCAAGTCACTGGGACTACAGGCACACCTACTGAGACAGGATAAATTTGTAATTTTTTGTAAAGACAGAGGATCTTACTATGTTGCCCAGGCTGACCTGGAATTCCTGGCATCAAGCAGTCCTCCCACTTCAGCCTCCAAAAGTAGTGGAATTACAGGCATGAGCGACCATGCCAGCCCTGTAGATATTCTTTTTACCTGAGCCTCATTGTCCTGCACTCTATCAATCCCCAATCAGAAGACAGCAGAGCCGCCTGACTACTGTGATAGCTTCTAATAAGCAGGTGTCAACTTCTGCTATTCCTGTAGGAAGAAAAGGAAAAAGAAGTACCTGACTTCAATTCATGTGCTTTGAGCCAACAGCACACAAAAGAAAAAAGATGGAAAGACTTTGTAAATAGGACTCTTGGGACACATTTGATGCACATTTTGTAGCTTTTACGTTTAAATGTATGGTATGATATTAAATACTTATAACATTGCCTCATTAGAGCCAGAGAGAAACATCCAGGCACAAGCTCCAAGTAGAAAAATGATAGTGGGACAAATCCTTCTGGCATTCGAACCACCGGGTGGATTACGATGTAGCATGACTGCCTCTGCCCTCCAATGTTCAGAGCTTGCTTTATTGTACTTTTTGTGTATTGCAAACAGAGCAAATGCATGTGTGCAAGACAAAATAGAAAATTACCCAGTGTACTTCAAAAAACAGAAATAATTGACCAATTATTAAGGAATGAAATAATCAAGAGATAACAAATTGGAAGCAACTTGGATATTGAAATGATGAGACTTTAAAGCAGCTGTTATAGCCATCCTTCAAGAGGTCAATGTGTACACTCTCAAAATAAAAGAAAAAACTTCTCAGCAGAGAAAAATGGAGTATATAAGATAATAAAATAGAAATTTTACAACTGTGATATATAATGTGTAAAATTCTTAAAAATCATTATATGTGATCAACAGCAGAAAGAAAATGATGGAGGAAATAGTGTTCTTGAAGTTGGATTAATAGCAATTATATACTCTGAACACGCAGGGTTAAATAATTGAAAAAAATTTACACTGTGTCACAAATATGAAAGGCTATAACAAATGATGTGATAATCATGCAGTCTGAGTCTCAGAAAAAGAGAACAATGAGGATGGTATTGAAAGAGGACTCAAAGATAGAAAGGCTGAAAATCCCCCAAACTTGGAATGGGCATAAACCTGCAGATCCAAGAAACTGAGCAAATCCCAACCAAAATACATCCAAGGAAATCTATGCCAAGCAACACTGTAGTCAAATTTCTGAGAATTAAAACAAAGAAAATGTTTAAAAGGCAGCTACAAATAAATAATACCATACTTATAGGAAAAACACAATGTGAATAACAGTGGCGTTACTACCAGAAAGAAGAAAACAACAGAAGAATGTAGCTCAAATATTTGAAGTGCTGAAAGAAAAAAATTGCCAACCAGAGGTTTATGTCCAGTAAAACTCTTCTGCAATAAGGAGACAGAAATCCAGTTATTCTCAGACGAATGAAAAGAAAGAAACCTAAGAGAATTTGCTTCTAACAAACCCATTTTTTTAAAAAAATGGCTCAAGGGGCGGGGCGCAGTGGCTCACGCCTGTAATCCCAGCACTTTGGGAGGCCGAGGCAGGTGGAACACGAGGTCAGGAGATCAAGACCATCCTGGCTAACATGGTGAAACCCCGTCTCTAATAAAAATACAAAAAATTAGCTGGGCGTGGTGGTGGGTGCCTGTAGTCCCAGCTGCTGGGGAGGCTGAGGCAGAAGAATGGCGTGAACCTGGGAGGCAGAGCTTGCAGTGAGCTGAGATCATGCCACTGCACTCCAGCCTGGGCGACAGAGCGAGACTCCATCTCAACAACAACAACAAAAAGGCTCAAGGAAGTTCTCTAAACAGAAAGGAGAGTACAGAGGAGGAATTTTCAGAACAGCAAGAATGAAACAAAGAAAGAAAAGAAAAACAAAGAAAAAGAAATTGGGGAAAAAGTAAGTAAACACAAAACATCTTTTCTTTTCAAGTTTTCTGCATGAGTTTCAAATGGCTCAACTGGCTATTGCTAGTGTTGAAGAGGAAAGACGTCCAGGGAATGAGGCAAAAAATAAGATTCTTCTCTGGAGTCCCCAAAACGAAACTAAACCTTGAGACCCAATTCAGAATCCTGAGCTACAAAACTGAAAGACAATAATGTCATGTTGAAGCAAAAATTATAAAACTTGCTGAGGTGGTAAATGCATGTAGAGATATATTTAAGATGATTATATTACAAACAGGGGTGGGTAAATAACGGGAATGTAAAGTTTTCATATTTCAACCCCATAGGGTAAAATGCCCACACCACTAGACTGTCACAAGCTGTGTATACGTAATGTAATACCCACAGCAACCATTAAAAATGCTGTATAGAGAAAGACACTCAAAAACTTTGCAGATCAACTAAAATGGAATCGAAAAAACTTTTCAAGGAACCCACACAAGATAGGGAGAAAGAAAACAAACAAAACAAGTATAAATATAAAATAAACAAAAATGGCTACAAATTATTAACAACTATGTGAAATGAAAATGGTAATTGAAAGTAAATTTCTGCCATTTCAGTTTGTGACTTACACTATTGTATAGATATATACTTAAAGTACAAATATTGACATTACAACTAATTTTACATAAACTCATTCATATCTGCATGCAAATATCTGGAAGAAGCCTGGGTAACTCTCCTTACCCGCCCTGAACCAAACCAGTTCCAGGGGAGTAAGATATCTGTCCTGTGTGTGCTATGATGATTAACAGTCTCCCAGAGACACACCCTTCCTAATTCCCATAACCAGTGTATATGTTAACTTACATGACAAAAGGGTATTAAGTTTGCTAATCAATTGACCTGAATATAGAGAGACTTTACTGAATATCTAAGTACATGCAATGTAATCACAACATCCCTAAATGTTGAGGAGGGAGGCAGAAGAGTCAGTGCCAGGGTGATGTGGTGTGATGTGATGTGATTGATGTGATGTGATGGGAGGCTCATCTGGCTATTGCTGGCATTGAAGATGGAAGAGGGCCAGGGAATGTGGGCCAGAAAATGGGTTCTGCCCTGAAGACTCTAGCATGAAACTCAGCCTTTCCACATGGATTTAAGCCCATGAGACCCATCCGTTACTTCTGAGCTACAAAGCTACTCACTTTATGGTAATGTGTTACTTACTTCAGCAATAGGAAAACTAATATACTTTCCAAACATTCATTTCATGCTTTTTTGTGGCCACTGTAATGTGTTAGTGTCAGTTCATAAAATTAGAGAAGAATAAAATTATCATGGCTATTAACACAAGGCAATTAAGCAAATCTTTCCTCATAAACTAAAAACCACTCTCAAAATTTCATTCCAATGAATAATTATTGAGCCCATATTCAATGGAGAACAGCTAATAATTGTCCCTCCCTCATCCTTGAATAATCCACTCCCCTCAGCCAGGATCTATGCCTCCTTTGTACATATCCTGTGCTTCTCTAGATTTCTACAATTATTCCATCTTCTGTCGTTTAGTGGTGGCCTTGTCCTACAGCTCAGAATCTTCTTAGAAAATGGGGGATAGCAGGAGGACACTCAGGGCTAATAAAAAAGTTGCTTCATTTTCTAAGTTAACAACAACAACAGGGAGAAAAGAGATTGTCTTTAACCTCCATGTTAGATTTTACTAATTGCAACTGGAAACTTTTAGGTTTGGAATGCTTTTATGGGACATTAAAATAACCCCATTGAAAATAGTATGAAATCTCTAGTAAGATAATCAGGGAGAACGAGATGAAAATCACAAACCAGTCCTGGAATGGGCTCTGTTTCCTGTGGAGGTGCTGGGTTTGTATTGAATTAAGAAATGCTTTGATTCACTTTAATAAGAATAATTCACCACGTGTCTAGCATTCTGTTGTCACCTTCCCATAGTCTTAGTAAGTGTAGGATTTCCCTGCATCTGTGGCACCAAAACCCTCCTTTTCCTAACTGCCAAGACCCTTTTACAGGGCTGATATCCTGACATAGAAATGGAGTGTAAATTCACTCCCCAAGAAGGATTTGGTAAAAACACTTGGTCCAGTCATACTCAGAAGTTCCTAAGGGTGGCAGGTGAATGGGACATGTCCTCATGAGCTAGCACCATTTTCTCTCTTCTGCCCAAATGTGGACTCAGCTAACTCAACATAATGCCTGGGAAACAAAGATACAAAATGCGAGCAGAATTTTAGAGTTTAACTTATTAAATCTCTCCTGGAATGTTTCCCAAGGAAAACCAAAGACCAGGAATAAAGAAAAAATACAAAAATCTATGGCCGTACCTAGTGTGCTAGTCATGAGCTCTTCAGAATAAACAGCAGTAATATGTACTAGAAATCAGTGAATAAATGCCTTCCTTTAAGGGTAAGCCTCAAGGGAAATTACACTTTCTCTTAAAAATCAAAGAACCTCCCTGTGTTGGTAATTGTCACAGTCAGCATCATCTCTGGATGGTGTGAAAATGGGTGTGGCCGGGACACAAGCAGAAATGCCCAAATGGATTTGGGCCATGAAGCTGCCCCTTGCTCTTGTAGTCAAATGTGAGATTTTCTCTGACTCCCCCACTGATTGTAAACGAAGGAAGACACAGCTAACATTGACTATTCACTCCATGCTTTGAAGTGAGAACCCTACAAATCCTGAAGAAGTGCAGCATTCCAGAGGGAGCATGTTCTGCAAAGGAGAAACTAGTGGAAGAGCAAGAATTTGAAGTCATAAACCAACCTCATTTCAGTAGGCCTTTGACCACCAATAAAATATGATTTCTAGATTCCTCCATCTACAATCTGCAATCCCCAGTGCATTTAGAGAAGTGCTGGAATATACTTTGCCATGAGAAGTGCTGGAATATACTTTGCCATTTTGGTGGATGTAAGAATCCGATTATTTAGAAATTTGCTCCTATAGGTATTCCCAAGCCTTCTTTCCAGAAGAAATCTCAAATATTCCTCAGGCTATTAAAGTATGTTTAGGGGACTGAGAGTCTTGAAATCTTATGACCCCATGGGTGAGTGGAAGATGGAAAGGGCTTGTGTGAAGGAGTAGGCAGAAAGAGGACCATTCCTAGTTCATAAAGCTTTTAAATACCTTTTTCTTCTGTTCAGTCTAAACAGGGTCTTGGAAGGGGCCTATGCAGAAGAGGGCCCCAAAGTTCAAGCTTCATTACCTTCATAGACCAATCAAATCCGACCAAATGCAACATGTCAGTCTTGTTTGGAGGCTCATTTAAATAAGCCTTTACTGTTGAATAAAATGTAAAAAGGCACATTTTAGACAATCAAGACAACTGCTGTATAAACTAAGTATAGCTATAACATAGTGTCAATATAAGACACATTTAGACTCTTTTTGTTTCTTATCATAAACTTGTGTTTCTGTCTATGTCTGTTTACTAAAAGGCACAAAAAAATTTTTTGTATGATACAGGGAGATTTGTTTTGGCAGTTCTAAAGATGAATAAGTGATAGACTTGAAACTATGTACTTTTACTCTAGAAAACTATATTTATTGGCCTACTAGAGTATGAAAAAGTATTTGTCACTTAAAATTGTCTCTAGAGTTGCAAAGACAGGTTGAGTTTACTCAGTAATCTTGTGAAAGCTAACTGTCTGATTATGAACTCATAGTCATGTTGTATTTAATGCAGCCACTGAAGAGAGGACAGCAGATTCTCCTGTTAAAATTAGGAATACAGGTAATAATAGTTTGTTGTAAAGTAATTTGAATACAGTTACAAAGAAAGAGAAATAAACAATAGGACAATTTGTAGTATCTGTTTTAAACTATAATAAGGAATTTGTTTCTTTATCCTAAGGGCGTTAACACACACTTCATTGAACACATGTACTGATTTCTGCTCTTTCCCAATATCCCAATAAACTTATAATAAAGAATCAAAAAGGAAATTAATACCCAAGGACAAGGAAAACAAAAGAGGAGACGACAGTATAAAATAAATGTAGACAAAACTGTAGAACTGAAATGATGACAATTAACTGAGTTTGTCAATCAACATTGCCGAAACCAGACAGGAAGAAAGGACAGTGGTGCAATCAATTTACACAGGAACACCTGGAAAATTGGCTCTATTTGAATGTTGCATTTTCCTATGCAGAAATTTACATGTACACACATTTTAGTTTATATTCTGTATCAATGTTTAATCATTCTTCAACTGAATCCTGTCCATTTATTGTTATTGGATCCTAGGAATTTTAAGCTGTTCTAATGAATAAGGACATTCTCTCATATTCTCGCTCTCTCTCTATTGTATTTTCTATGCTGATACCTATAAACTTATGGCTTTGGGAAACTCAGTCAATGATATTAAGATTTTTCATCCTCTGAAAAGCGAACATAAATGCAAGAAATCCTCAAACACTATTGTAAAGACTAAAAGAGCAAAGGCATCAGAAACATCACTATAATAGGTAGAAAGGGACAATCAATAAATCTTTAGCTACATAGCCATGCATGTACAGAAATTGAAAATATGATATAGATAACAATCCAATCACCAAAGAAAACTTGGTTATTCCATATTGTTTGGGCCAATCATGTATTCAACTTTTTTCACAATGTGGTGTCTTAATATTTGTATACATTAAGAAAGATTCAATCAAGCTAACCTATCATATTCCAACTTACCCTTTTTTTGTGGTGACAACATTTCCTTTTTTTTTTTTTTTACTTTAAGTTCTGTGATATATGTGCTGAACACGCAGGTTTGTTACACAGGTACACATATGCCATGGTGGTTTGCTGCTCCCATCAACACATCATCTAGGTTACAAGCCCAGTATGCATTAGGTATTTGTCCTAATGCATGCTGGGCTTGTAACCTAGATGACGTGTTACAATGCCTCTCCCTCCCCTTCCCCCCACCTCCTGATAGGCCCTGGTGTGTGATGTTCCCCTCCCTGTGTCCCTGTGTTCTCATTGTTCAAGTCCCACTTGTGAGTGAGAATATGCGGTGTTTGGTTTTCTGTTCCTGTGTTAGTTTGCTGAGGATAATGGTTTCCAGCTTCATCTATGTCCCTGCAAAGGACATGAGCTCATTCTTTTTTATGGCTGCATAGTATTCCATGGTGTATATGTGCCACATTTTCTTTATCCAATCTATCATTGATGGGCATTTGGGTTGGTTCCAAGTCTTTGCTATTGTAAATAGTGCCACAATAAACATATGTGTTCATGTGTCTTTACAGTAGAATGATTTATAATTGCTTTGGTATATACCCAGTAATGAGATTGCTGTGTCAAATGGTATTTCTGGTTCTGAATTCTTGAGGAATTGCCACACTCTCTTCCACAATGGTTGAACTAATTTATACTCCCACCAACAGTGTAAACATGTTCAGATTTTTCTGCATCCTTGCCAGCATCTGTAAATTAATTGGGTTATATGGTCATTTTTATGATATTGATTCTTCCTATCCATGAACACAGAATTTTTTTGTGTCATACTCTTATATTTTGGAAACACACACTGAGGCTTTTGGAGGGTGCAGGGTGGAAGGAGGAAGATGATCAAGAAAAATAACTAATGTTACTAGGCTTAATACCTGGGTGAGGAAATAATCTGTGCAACATACCCCCATCAGAAGTTTACCTATGTAACAAATGTGCACTTGTACCCCTGAACTTAAAATAAGAGTTAAAAAATTATTGTTAACATAAAAAAAGAAAAATCTAAACTCCACCACAAACACTTAGAACTAAAAAACAAGTTCACTAACATTGAAGGATAAATTATCAATATGCAAAAATTAGTAGCATATAACAACAATAAAATAGCATGAAAGAAAAATCAAATATTCAATTCCCTCTACAAAGCTACAAAAAATTAATTACTCAGTAATAAATTTAGCCAAGCAGATTAATACTTGTCAGCTATATGACAGAAAATGTCAGTCAATCATATTGAGCTTTGTTCCTTCATCTGAGAAGTAAACATAATGCAAGAAATTATCAAAGGGCTATTGTAAGGACAAAAGGGCAAATGATATAAAACAGGTATTACTATTCTAAGTATAATGGAATGGTTGTTACATCTTTAGCGATTTACCCATATCTGTATGGAAATTTATTGTATGATTCTGAAGCAATACAACCAATGACTAAAACTTGGTCATTAAATGTTGTTTGGGGATAATTCAATTTCCAATTAGTTTGCAAACTGATTTTAGATCTCTCTCTCACAGCATGGGCTTCCTCACGACATGTGGACAGGTTCCTGAGAGAACAGGTTAGAATTATATGGCATTTTTAGGATCTAGACTCAAAAGTTACTAAGCATCACTTCTTACATACTCTATTGGTCAAAGCAGTTACAATGGTCCACTGAGGTTCAAGTGGGAGGAATCCGATGTCACCAGTTGCAGGGAAGATATCAAGGTCCCATTGTCATCAGAAAGCATGAGGTGAGAGATGATCTTTTGGACGTTTTTGGAAGGTATGATCTGCCACACATTGCAAATTCCAAGATGTTAAAAATGTAAACACGTGCATCTAAAAATCAACAACTGTGGTAAGAAATGTATGGTAGAATTTCTTATCAATGTCATTAAGCAGAAGAGAAGACCCTGTTCTGAGAGAAAATCTATGTGTTCACTTAAAAGAAAAGTAAGTCTGTCATTAATCACTTGAAAATAATCCCTCTTTTAAAGATATCTGTATAATGTTATAACAATATGAGGAAGATTTCTGTTGCTTTGTATAACATATTTAAAAAGTTGTGATTGTATTTCTCCCAGATATCGCTAAAACAGTGGTAAACTAAGGCTAAAAACACTTGACTTTACACTACTCATATTGCCTCTGTCTACGGCCCCAACCACTGAAAAAGTAACACCAACTCTGGGGCCAGGACATTGGAGATGCTCTCAGGCAGAAACCTAATAGCTATCCATGTGATATACAAATTTATCTCTTGATATACAACTCTCTGACCAATCTCCCTCCTGACTTTCTGAAATTTTCAATTTCTTGTGATAAATGAACCAAAATTTCGGTCCCTTAAAATGGTATCCACAATTTAGCTGATGTTTCCTAAGACATGATATAGCGACCAGAAGTTTGATTTTGAGTATTCCAGAAGGAGAAGAAATGAGTAAGAGCATGGAAAAAATTTTTAAACAAAATAGTAGCTAAAAAATTTGTCAAATCTAGCAAGAGACTGGGACACCCAAATACAGGACCTCAAACATATTCAAATTGACACAACCCCAAAAGGCCTTCTCCAAGGCACATAAGAGTCAAAATGTCAAGATCAAAACCAAAGAGAAAATTCTAAAAAGAGTAAGATAAAAGCATCAAGACATATATTAGGGAAGCCTCATCATATTAGGAGTGATTTTCACAGAAGAAACTGTACAGTCTAGGAGATATGAAATAATATATTTAAAGTGTTCAAAGAAAAAAAAATTCTGCCAGCCACAAATACTATCTCCAGATAGATGTGCAGTCCAGAGATGTGCAGTCCAGCCTACATAGCTTATGGTAGCCCTTCAAGTAGGAAAGGAAGGTCAGAGAGAAGGAACAAAGGAGAATGCAGGGCAGACGTGCCTTGCTCTTCCTGTCCGATGAATACAGGAAGACAGCAGGAGATGCTTTTAAATATCAATCCGTTCAGGCATTTTCCTGACCTTCTCCAATGCTTGCAAAGGGTGAAAGAGATGGGTGTATCAGGAAAGAATAAATACCAGCTATAAACTCATGGGAAACAATCAGAATGGAGTTTGCCAAAGATTTGAAAGACAGAGATAGGGTGGGTAAAGCAACAACCATACTCTAGCAGCAGCTCAGGCACCTGGAGATGAGTCAAAGCCCTAAGTAATTCACTTGCCATCTAAAATGGCAGCAAATTTAACATGTCTCAAGTCATGTTCTTGATTTCAACATCCTAAAACCTCTCTCCCTCAAAATATTTTGTTACTTACCTAAGCAATTACCACAGAGTAGTGTCTTAAACAACAGAAATTCATTTTTTCACAGTTTCATTGAGATCATGGTGTCAACAGGTTCAGTGTTTCCTTAGCCTCTAGACATCTGCCTTCTTGCTATGTCCTCAAAAAAGGAGCTGCCTTGGTGCATGTGGATATTTGGTGTCTCTCTGTGTATGCAAATGTCTTCTTCTTATAAGGACACCTAGCAGATGGGACTATGTGCCCCCATAACAGCCTCATTTTAAGTTAATCCACACATTTCTGTTCTTGCCTTCAAATATGGTCATATTCTGAGAAACTAGGAGTGAAGTCTTTCATCATATAAATAAGGGGAAACAGAATTCAGCCCATAGCACTACCCAGTGTCTTCTCAGTCCACGACAGCAGTTTCTTTTTTTTGTTCAAATATATTGGAATCACGCTTGCCTTTCTCTCACCGAAGCCTGGTCCATGAGCAAATCCAGTGGGCTCACCTCTAAATCCCTCGCAATATGAACACTTGCATATTCCCTACTACAGAGCTGTAGTTCATGCCATGATTCTCTCTCAAGGAGGATGTTAAGAACCTTAACCAGGTCTTGATAACATTCTTGTTACATTCCATATCAGTTCTCCCCACAATAGCCAGAGTGACCTTTTACAGATGAAAATTAGATCATATACCATTTGTGCTTCACACCCACCACAGGTTTTTATTACACTGGTAATCAGATTTGAATTTCATATGTCAGCTTCTTCATACCCACATGACTTTCTCTTTCTTAAAAAATGGGAGATTCTTTGAGTAGGACAGAAAGCAGAATCTTCCTCAACTTCATCTTGAACTAGCTTGTCTGCAACGCAAGAGAGTTGTCTACCAGGAGAGATGAACATGAAGAGAGTGGATGGACTTGTGATGTGATTGAGTGAATTGCATTGAGTCCTGTGGTCTGGGAATAGTTCATGGGAATTGGAGGAATCCTTGTGCCCATTGAATCAACTAAGTATTATTTTAATATAATTAGCAATGAAACAAAAATGTCTCAAAAAATTCAAATTTGCATAGATTTTTCTATAAATCCTGACTACACAATTACCATATTGGTTCATATAGTTTATTATTATCTTTTCTCTTATAAACACATATTTCACAATTATTTTAGGGTATTCATATTCATATTCAATGAACACATTGTAGCCATGACTGATTATAATAAAAATATTTCTTAAGCATTTACTGTATGTCATTTAATCTTCAGAATCAGCTTATTAGGTAAGAATAATGTTTACTACTATCTCAGTTTTATAGGTGAGCTGACTGAGGCACATGCCAAAGTTGTTAGAATGGTAATAAGTGGTATAGATGGCTGTCAGTCTTCAGAGCCTATGTTCTTGCTTACTGTACTCCACTACTTTCTTGCTATTTACTTATATATTTATTTACTTCCAAAAAAGTCAGAAGAAACCAGGTCCAGAATATAAACTCAGGTACAAGTGATAGGAAATGTGTAAGGTAAAACTTCTCCTGAGATCTTAAAGGTGAGGTAATAAAAAACTCTTTTCTGAATAAATAAGTTTCTTTCTAAATCATAAACACATTTACACAGGATTCTCCAGACCTGTCTTTCTTTTCATCTTTACACAAAATATACTCATTAGAATATGAGCATCTTTGGGATGCCCATGTTTTCCTCCCACAGAGAGGATAGGTAATCTTACTTTTCTCCAATTTGTTTTAGTAGTGTGTGTGGAGGTACTTATCCAGGATTTGATAATGCACTACTTGGTCCTATTCAGTTGGCTCTCTTTACAGAGAAGCATCCATTTTTTTCTTGGGTGCCACATAGCAGACACAGTAAATTTATTATCTTTTCAAATTCTTCACCTGCCTCGTCAGGCCTGGAAGAGCATATAGCTCAGCCCCTGCTCACTCCTATAATTTCTGTTTTATTTATGAACTTTAAAAATACTTACTAATGAGAATAAAAAGAATGAACAATGCCTTTGATTTTGGTATTTTTGTGGAGCCCCCTCTAAACTGCAGGGCCTGGGAAAGCAGATCTTCTTGAAATACAGAGTGCCCAACATAATAAATGAAAAAGACCTACATCAACTTATATCTAATTAAATCTTAATGATAAGAAAGATCTTGAAGATTCCACTTTAAAAAAGCGTCATGATGTAGTAACAGCTCTGGTCTGCAGCTCCTAGCAAGATCAATGCAGAAGGCAGTTGATTTCTGCATTTCCAACTGAGCTACCCAGCTCATCTCACTGGGACTGGTTAGATAGTGGGTGCAGCCCATGGAGGACAAGCAGAAGCAAGGTAGGGTGTCGCCTCACTCCGGAAGTGCAAGGAGTTGGGAAACTCCCTCCCCTAGCAAAGGGAAGCCATGACAGACTGTGCCATGAGGAACAGTGCATTCCAGCCCAGATACTACGCTTTTTCCACGGTCTTCACAACCCACAGACCAGGAGATTCCCTCCGGTGCCTATGCGACCAGGGCCCTGGGTTTCAAGCACAAAACTGGGTGGCCATTTGGGCAGACTCCAAGCTAGCTGCAGGAGTTTCCTTTCTAACCCCAAGGGCACCTGGAATGCCAGCAAGACAGAACAGTTCACTCCCCTGGAAAGGGAGTTGAAGCCAGGGAGCCAAGTGGTCTAGCTCAGTGATTCCCACTCCCACAGAGCCCAGAAAGCTAAGATCTACTGGCTTGAAATTCTTGCTGCCAGCACAGCAGTCTGAAGTCCACCTGGGACACTCCAGCTTGGTGGGAGGAAAGGTGCCCACCATTACTGAGGCTTCAGTAGGCAGTTTTCCCCTCACAGCATAAATAAAGCCACCGGGAAGTTTGAACTGGGTGGAGCCCACTGCAGCTTGGCAAAGCCACTGTAGCCAGACTGTCTCTCTAGATTCCTCCTCTCCGGGCAGTGCATCTCTGAAAGAAAGGCCGCAGACCCACTCGGGGCCTTACAGATCAAAGTCCCATCTCCCTGGGACAGAGTACCTGGGGGAAGGGGCAGCTGTGGGCACAGCTTCAGCAGACTTAAATGTTCCTGCCTGGCAGCCGATCTCCCAGCTCAGTGCTCGAGCTCTGCAGAAGGACAGACTGCCTCCTCAAGTAGGTCCCTGACCCCCGTGGCTCATGACTGGGTGACACCTCCCAGCAGGGGTCAACAGACACCTTATACAGGAGAGTTCTGGCTGGCATCCGCTGGGTGCCCCTCTGGGACAAAGCTTCTAGAGGAAGGAACAGGTAGCAATTTTTGCTGTTTTTCAGCCTCTGCTGGTGATACCCAGACAAGTAGGGTCTAGAGCGGACCTCCAGCAAACTCCAGCAGACCTGCAGCAGAGGGACCTAACTGTTAGAAGGAAAACTAACAAACAGAAAGGAACAGTATTAACATCAACAAAAAAGTCATCCTCACCAAAACCCCATCCGAAAGTCACCAACATCAAAGACTTTGGTCTTTGATAAATCTTCATAGATAAATCCACGATGATGGGGAGAAACCAGTGCAAAAAGCCTGAAAATTGCAAAAACCAGAATGCCTCTTCTCCTCCAAATGATCATAACTCCTTGACAGCAAGGGAACAAAACTGGACAGAGAATGAGTTTGACAAATTGACAGAAGTAGGCTTCAGAAGGTGGGTAATAAAAACTCATCTGAGCTAAAGGAGCATGTTCTAACCCAATGCTAGGAAGCTAAGAACCTTGAAAAAAGGTTAGACTAATGGCTAACTAGAATAGCTAGTTTAGAGAAAAACATAAATGACCTGATGGAGCTGAAAAACACAGCACAAGAACTTTGTGAAGCATACACAAGTACCAATAGCTGAATTGAACAAGCAGAAGAAAGGATATCAGAGATTGAAGGTCAACCTAAAGAAATAAAATGTGAAAACAAGATTAGAGAAAAAAGAATGAAAAGGAATGAAAAAGCTTCCAAGAAATATGGGACTATGTGAAAAGACCAAACCTACATTTGATTGGTGTACCTGAAAGTGACGGGGAGAATGGAACCAAGTTGGAAAACACTCTGCAGGATATTATCCAGGAGAAATTCCCCAACCAAGCAAGACAGGCCAACATTCAAATTCAAGAAATACAGAGAACACCTCAAAGATACTCCTCGAGAAGAGCAACCCCAAAACATATAATCATCAGATTCACCAAGGCTGAAATGAAGGAAAAAATGTTAAGGGTAAGCAGAGAGAAAGGTCGGGTTACCCACAAAGGGAAGCCCATTAGACTAACAGTGGATCTCTCTGCAGAAACCCTGTAAGCCAGAAGAGAGTGGGGGCCAATATTCAAAATTCTTAAAGAGAAGAATTTTCAACCCAAAATTTTATATCCAGCCAAACTAAGCTTCATAAGGGAAGAAGAAATAAAATCCTTTACAGACAAGCAAATGCTGAAAGATTTTGTCACCACCAGGCCTGCCTTACAAGAGCTCCTGAAGGAAGCACTAAACATGAAAAGGAAAAACTGGTACCAACAACTACAAAAACATACCAAATTGTAAAGACCACCGACATAATGAAGAAACCCCATCAGCTAATGGGCAAAATAATCAGCTAGCATCATAATGACAGAATCAAATTCACACATAACAATATTAACCTTAAATGTAAATGGACTAAATGCCCCAATTAAAAGACACAGACTGGCAAATTGGATAAAGAGTCAAGACCCATCAGTGTGCTGTACTGAGGAGACCCATCTCGTGTGCAAAGATGCACATAGGCTCAAAATAAAGGGATGGAGGAATATTTACAAAGCAAATGGAAAGCAAAAAAAAGCAGGAGTTGCAATCCTAGTCTTGATAAAACAGACTTTAAACCAACAAAGGTCAAAAGAAACAAAGAAGGGCATAATGGTAAAAAGATCAATGCAACAAGAAGAGCTAACTGTCAAATATATACACACCCCATACAGGAGCACCCAGATGCATGAAGCAAGCTCGTAGAGACTTACAAAGAGACTTAAACTCACACACAATAATAGTGGAAGACTTTAACACCCCACTGTCAATATTAGACACATAAAAGACACAGAAAATTAACAAGGATATTCAGGACTTAAACTCAGCTCTGGACCAAGTGGACGTAACAGATAACTACCTGACTCTCCACCCAAAATCAACAGAATATATATTCTTCTCAGCACATCATCACACTTATTCTAAAATTGACCACATAACTGGAAGTAAAACCTCCTAAGCAAATGCAAAAGAACGGAAATCATAACAAAGAGTCTCTCAGACCACAGTGCAATCAAATTAGAACTCAGGGTTAGGAAACTCATTCAAAAACACATGACTACATGGAAACTAAGCAAGCAGTTCCAGAATTAAGGCAGAAATAAATAAGTTATTTGAAACCAATGAGAACAAAGACACAATGTACTAGAATCTCTGGGACACAGTTAAAACCGTGTTTAGATGGAAATTTATAGCTCTAAATGCCCACAAGAGAAAGCAGGAATGATAAAAAATTGACACCGTAATATCACAATTAAAAGAGCTAGAGAAGCAAGAGCAAATAAATTCAAAAGCTAGCAGAAGACAAGAAATAACTAAGATCAGAGCAGAACTGAAGGAGATAGAGACACGAAAAACTCTTCAAAAAATCAATGAATCCAGGAGCTGGTTTTTTGAAAAGATTAACAAAATAAATAGAGCACTAGCCAGACTAATAAAGAAGAAAAGAGAGAAGAATCAAATAGACACAAAAAAAGATAAAGGGGATATTACCACTGTCCCACTGAAATACAAACTATCATCAGAGAATACCATAAACACCTCTACACAAATAAACTAGAAAATCTAGAAGAAATGGATAAATTCCTGGACACATTCACCCTCCCAGGACTAAGCCAGGAAGAAGTCAAATCCCTGAATAGACCAATAGCAAGTTCTGAAATTGAAGGAGTAATTAATAACATACAAACAAACAAAAAAAAAGCCCAGGACCAGATGGATTCACAGCCGAATTATACCAGAGGTACAAAGAGCTGCTGGTACCATTCCTTCTGAAACTATTCCAAACAATAGAAAAAGAAGTACTCCTTCCTAACTCATTTTATGAGGCCAGCATCATCCTAATACCAAAACCTAGAAGAGACACAACAAAAAAAGAAAATTTTAGGCCAATATCCCTGATGAACATCAGTGCAAAAATCCTCAATAAAATACTGGCAAACTGAATCCAGCAGCACATCAAAAAGCTTATCCACCATGATCAAGTCAACTTCATCCCTGGGATGCAAGGCTGGTGCAACAAACAGAAATCAATAAACAACCCATCACATAAACAGAACAAATGACAAAAACCAAATGATTATCTCAATAGATGCAGAAAAGGCCTTTGATGAAATTCAACACCTCTTCATTCTAAAAATACTCAATAAACTAAGTATTGATGGAACACATCTCAAAATATTAAGAATTACTTATGAAAAACGCATAGCAAATATCATACAGAATGGGCAAAACTGGTAGCATTCTCTTTGAAAACTGGCACAAGACAAGAATACCCTTTCTCTCCACTCCTCTTCAACATAATATTGGAAGTTCTGGCCAGGCAATTAGGCAAGAGAAAGAAATAAGGGTATTCAAATAGAAAGAGAGGAAGTCTAATTGAATCTGTTTGCAGATGACATGATTGTATGTTTAGAAAACCCCATGGTCTCAGCCCCAAAACGCCTTAAGCTAATAAGCAACTTCAGCAAAGTCCTAGGATACAAAATCCATGTGCAAAAATCACAAGCATTCCTATACACCAATAACAGACAAGCCGAGAGCCAAATCATGAGGGAACTCCCATTCACAGTTGATACAAAAAATAAAATACCTAGGAATACAAGTTACAAGGGACGTGAAGGACCTCTACAAGGAGAACTACAAAACACTGCTCAAGGAAGTAAGAGAGGACAGAAACAAATGGAAAAACATTCCATGCTCATGGATAGGAAGAATCAATATCGTGAAAATGGCCATACTGCCCAATGTAATTTATAGATTCAACACTATTCCCATCAAACTACCATTGACTTTCTTCAGAGAATTAGAAAAAACTACTTTAAATTTTCATATGGAACCAAAAAGAGCCCATATAGCCAAGACAATACTAAGCAAAAAGAACAAAGCTAGAGGCATCATGCTACCTGATTTCAACTATACTAGAAGGCTACAATAACCAAAACAGCATGGTACTGGTACCAAAACAGATATATAGACCAATGGAACAGAACAGAGGCCTCAGAAATCACGCCACACATCTACAACCATCTGCTCTTTGACAAACCTGACAAAAACTAGCAATGGGGAATGGATTCCCTGTTTAATAAATGGTGTATGGAAAACTGACTAGCCATATGCAGAAAACTGAAACTGGACCCCTTCCTTACACCTTATACAAAAATTAACTCAAGATGGATTAAAGACTTAAACGTCAGACCAAAAACCATAAAAACCCTGGAAGAACACCTAGACAATACCATTCAGGACATGGGCATGGACAAAAACTTCATGACTAAAACACCAAAAGCAATTGCAAGAAAAGCCAAAATTGACAAAGGGGATTTAATTAACTAAAGAGTTTCTGTACAGTAAAAGACACTATCATTACAGTGAACAGGGAACCAACAGAATGGGAGAAAAATTTTGCAGTCTATCCATCTGACAAAGTCTGATTTACAGAATCTACAAGGAACTTAAACAAATTTACAAGAAAATGACAAACAACCATATCAAAAAGTGGGTGAAGGATATGAACAGACATGTCTCAAAAGAAGACATTTATGTGGCCAACAAACATGAAAAAGAGCTCATCATCACTGATTATTACAGAAATGCAAATCAAAACCACAATGAGACACCATCTCATGCTAGTTAGAATGGTGATTATTAAAAAGTCAGGAAACAGGCCGGGTACAGTGGCTCATGCCTGTAATCCCAGCATTTTGGTAGGCCAAAGTGGGTGGAGTTAGGTGAAGTTAGGAGTTTGAGACCAGCCTGACCCACATGGTGAAACCCTGTCTCTACTAAAAATACAAAACTAGCCAGGCATGGTGGTGCATGTCTGTAATTGCAGCTACTCAGGAGGCTGAGTATCGCTGGAACCCAGGAGGCAGAGGTTGCAGTGAGCCAAGATCATGCCATTACACTCCAGCCTGGGCAAAAAAGAACAAAACTCTGTCCAGAAAAAAGAAAAAATTCAAAAACTAGCCAGGCATGGTGGCATGCACCTGTAATCCCACCTACTCAGGAGGCTGAGGCAGGAGAATCACTTGAACCCAGGAGGTGCAGGTTGCAGTGAGCTGAGATCAGGCCACTGCACTCCAGTCTGGTGACAGAGCCAGACTCTGTCTCCAAAAAAAAAAAAAAAAAAGAAAGTCAGAAAACAACAGATGCTTGAGAGAATGTGGAGAAATAGGAACAGTTTTACACTGCTGGTGGGAGTGTAAATTAGTTCAACCATTGTGGAAGACAGTGTGGCAATTCCTAAAGGATCTAGAATCAGAAATATCATTTGACCCAGCAATCCCATTACTGGGTATATACCCAAACAATTATAAATCTCTCTACTATAAAGACACATGCACACATATATTTATTGCCATGCTATTTACAAGACCAAAGACTTGCAACCAACCCAAATGCCCATCAGTGATAGACTGGATTAAAAAAATGTGGCACATATACACTATGGAATACTATGCAGCCATAAAAAAGGATGAGGTCATGTTCTTTGCAGGGACTTGGATGAAGCTGGAAACCATCATTCTCAGCAAACTAACACAGGAACAGAAAACCAAACACCACATGTTCTCACTCATAAGTGAGAGTTGAACAATGAGAACACAGGGACACAGGGAGGGGAACATCACACACCAGGGACTTTCAGGGGGCAGGAGGCATGGGGAAGGATAGCATTAGGGGAAATACCTATTGCACACGGGGCTTAAAACCTAGATGATGGGTTGATGGATGAAGCAAACCACCATGGCACATGTATACCTATGTAACAAACCTGCACCTTCTGCACGTGTATCCCAGAACTTAAAGTATAATAAAAAAGAAAAGAAAAGAAAACCGTAATGAGATATCATCTTACCTCAGTCAGAATGACTATGATTAAAAGGGTGAAAACTGAAGAGATGTTGGCAAGGATATGGAGAAAGAAGAACTCTTATACACACTTGGTGGGAATGTAAATTAGTACAGCTTCTGTGGAGAACTGTGATTTCTCAAAGAACTAAAACTAGAACTACATTTGCATTGAGCAACCCTACTTCTGGGTATCTTCCCAAAGGAAAAGTAGTCAGTGTAACAAATACATACCTTTATCTGTATGTTTATTGTAGCAACATTCATGGGAACAAAGATATTGAATCAACCAAAGTGTCCATTAATGAATGATTGGGTTAAAAATGTAATTATATATACCCAATGCCATACCACTCACTCATAATGAGAGAATGAAATCACATATATTGTGGCAATATGGATGGAACTGGGGGTCATTTTCTTAAGCAAAACAGGCTAGATACAGGAAATGAAATATAACATGTTCTCACTCATAAGCGGATGCTAAAGAATGTGTATGCACAGATGAAGAGAGTGAAATAATACACAATGAAGACTTGGAAGTGGAAGGCAGAGGGGTTGAATATTGGGATATTAATTAATAAATACAGTGTTTGTTATTTGAATAATGAATACCTTAATGCTGTGACTTATGCACTATGTAATCTATGTAACAAAACTGAACTTGTAATACATACATTTGTGCAAATAAAATTTTTAAAAAATAACAGAAACTCTAGTCATACTGCTCCCCCATCCTCACCATTAAAAAGAAGAGGCAATGACCAGTGTGGCCATAGCAGAATGAATTAGGTATAGAGCAGCCACCAATTCCAGAGATAGTTAGGGCTCAATACATAGGACTTTAGGATAGTTGAAAATTAGCATCTTGTTCTTAGAGAGTAAAAGTGGTGGCCATCAACTGGAAAACATAGAAAAGTAATATAATTTTTAAATGGCCAAGGTGGGTAATTGATTGTTGGGAAATAAATAGAACTATTTGGTGTAAACTGCAGGTGAGGCTTGCTTAGATGGGCTGATAGATATGAAAGTGATGAAACTGGCTGCAGTCAGAAATTATTTTGAAGCTTGAACTTCACAATGATAACATAGTTGATTTGACTAGATGTAATGTGATGTAAGAGGAAAAGAGTCTAGAATAAATCCTAGTTTCCTTAATTAATTAGAGAATAATTTACCAAGAGCAAATAGAGTTGGAAGAGGAGTAATTCTGTAGTTGTAGGAGGGAGAGACAGAGGTAGAAGAAAACAGGGAAGAGAACAGGAGGTTCCAGGAAAGACTGATAGAGTGTTCCCCAAAGAAGGGTAGGATCAATGGTGTTAAACTGCTGAGGGGTCACAGGAGATGGATGACTGAGAATTGATTCCTGAAATGAGTAGAATGGAGGCAGTAGATGACCTTGACAGACTTGGAGTGGAAAGAACAAAAGCATCTTTAATGTGTGTTTTAAAAAAAAATGGAAGGGAGGGGATGGGGAAATAATCACATACATACGTTTCAAGAACTTTTGCAATACAAATGGCAGACAAATAATATGGTAGGAAAGAAGCACTAAGAGTCTTAGCAAAACCTCTGTAGAAATGGGTGATGTTTCAGCAGGTTTTTGCTGATTGAAGTAATCCCATAGAGCATAGATGTAAGAATCAGGAGACAAAAGGGTCACATGCAGAAGCAAAATCCTTGATTGGGTAATGTGGTTCAGAGTCATGAGGGTAGGTAAGAGATAGGGGTAGGGAGGCTTCAACTACAGTAATAGGAGAGAAGCCAGAGAACTGGGATTGAACTGAATGTGGGTTGCTCAACTTGGTGGTGATTATGGCAAGATCCTTCTATTCCAATTTTTCTGAAATTCATAGTGAATTATCTGGGCTATCGGTGGGCACAGGGGCAGTTTTCTAATATTGAACCTTCCTTGCTTGAGAAGCAGACATGCCAATCTCTGCAAGGTTTTTGGTATGTATGTTATCTGAATAGTCTCCATACTCTAAGGTAGTTGTTATGATTCTTCTCATTGTAGATAAGGAAATTGACGCTCTGAGAGACCAAGTAGCTTTTTAAGAGTTCAGAGCTAGCAAGAAAGAGTTATGTCTTAACTAAAATCTGAGAGTGTCCCAGTTCTTTGCTCCTAAAAGTCATGCTGACTTCTTGATGAAATCCATTCAGGTTTCATTAAAGAAAGGTGAGGAACATAGGGAGGGAGAGAAGTGATCACTGTTAAAATAGGGTCAATGGGATAGAGAGGGTTCTAGGGATAAGAAGCACAGACCCATATTCATTCACTTGAAACCAAACTCAGTTTCTTAGAAATTATAGGGATTTCTTTTAGTTTCTATGACTTATTTTCCATTTGTTGTGTTTTTTGTCCTTAAAATTACTGGAATATCAGTAAACAATCTGAAAATAATTTTAAAATTTCAATTTGTGCTGTAGAAGCCAGAGAAGGGCCAGGCATGGTGGCTGACTCCTGTAATCCCAACATATTTGGAGGCCGAGGCAAGCAGATGACCTGAAGTCAGAAGTTCTAGCCTAGTCTGGCCAACAGAGTGAAACCCCATCTCACATAAAATTACAAAAATTACCCAGGAATGATGGTGGGATCCTGTAATCCCAGCTACTGTGAAGGGTGAGGTAGGAGAATAGCTTGAATCCAGGAGATGCAGGTTGTAGTGAGCCAAGATTATGCCACTGCACTCCAACCTAGGTGATAGAGCAAGACTCCATTTCAGAAAAAGAAAAAAATAGAAGTCAGGGAAGGAGATAAACAGTAAAATATTTTTCATGGCAGCTGGCTAAATTAGGATTAAAGAGGAGGGAATCTCCCTGGAAGCATCAAAGAGAAGGGGTCCTAGATGTTCTTATAATGTGTTCTTGGTCCTCACACTCCACATTCACAAACACTGAGAAAGAGACACCACAATCAGAAATTGTAAGCTGTTTATTTTATTGGTATATTAAAGGTAGAGCTATGACCACCTTCTTCCAATGTCATGGCATTTGAATCATTTGAATCACTGTCATCTTCTTGTTCACTTCCTGAAACAAACAAACAAGGAATTTCATAGAGCAGACTTGACATGGCAGGAAATGTCGAATTCCTCACTGGTGTTACTGCAGTAGAGTACATGAGATCCCATCCTCTCTCCCCAATCCCTTCAACCTCCTGTGATTCTTTCCTGATTTTTTCTGTGTTCACTCTTTTGATGCCCTTGCACACAATGTGCTCCAAATTGTTGCTGAGAAGATGAAGAGAAAAGATCATCCTTAGGTTGTTATGACTCATTGCTGTTGAATTTGTTCAGGGATATATTTACACATATGATAATCAGAACCTATTTTATAATAGTGATAAGATGAAACCACCCTCAGTATCCAGTGACAGGGATTGATTAAAGAAATCATGGTGCAGCCACACAATGGAGTAGCATAAAATTGTAAAAGCAAACAGAAAACCACTGAAGAGATGTATTTAGCTTCATAAACTGATGTGGAAATTTTCAAGAAGTGTATTTTTAAATGACTACCATATATACCTGCATATAAGTTATGGTATTAGTGGTAGGGTAAAAGAATGCTGTATGTCTATGCACACATAAATATTTCAAAGAGAAGATCCCATAAAGTCAACAGTGGTAGCTTTTTGAAGGAAGGAAGGTGAGTAGGATGAGCTACGCCTTTAAAATTAACTTCATATTTTTCCATTCCATTAGATATCTTTTGTTAGCTTAATCATGTACTTACTGAAAACTAAGTATGTAAAAAATGAGACACCATTTAGCTGCTGAAAGATCAGGGACCATTTGGCAGGAATACTGGACTCGAGAGGCTGGCGTGAGGCAGGAATGAGCAAACAGTGCTCAGGTGAAAAATTTAAATGCAATATCTCTGAGTTTGTGGACCGAAAGCAGAGCACCAAGAATGGACATGGTACTACTTCCTCATTGCCAACACAATTTAAGACAGATTGTATGGTATGTTGTTTCTCAACATCAGAGTTCCTTAAAGAGTTTGTTAGAAATACAGGGTCTTCTTACCCTATTCCAGAGTATCTGAATACAAATCTTTAGAAATGGGTTCTAGGACAATACAATGTCAATGGGTTTTTAGTTGATTCATTGGCACAATAAAGTTGGAGAACTGTAACACTTAGAGCACTTGGTGAAGAATAAACTGGAATCATACCTGTCATTGAACCTTGATTACTGGGGAGGCTGTCCCTGGGGAGGTCTGTGTGGTCTGCCCCCTTGAGGAGGTGGAGGTGGTCCCTGGGGCTTTCCAGCGGGAGGTGGCAGAGGCTGCTGGGGATTGCCTCCTGGTGGGGGTGGTCCTTGTGGCCTTCCTGGAGGAGGGGGACGTTGAGGTTTGTTACCTTCTTGTGGGGGTGGTCCTTGTGGCTTTCCTGGATGAGGTGGGGGACCTTGAGGTTTGTTGCCTCCTTGTGAAGGTGGTCCTTCTGGCTTTCCTGGACGAGGTGGGGGACCTTGGGACTGGTTTCCTCCTTGTGGGGGTGGTCCTTCTGGCTTTCCTGGACGAGGTGGGGGACCTTGAGGTTTGTTGCCTCCTTGTGGGGGTGGTCCTTCTGGCTTTCCCGGACGAGGTGGGGGACCTTGGGACTGGTTTCCTCCTTGTGGGGGTGGTCCTTCTGGCTTTCCCGGACGAGGTGGGGGACCTTGGGACTGGTTTCCTCCTTGTGGGGGTGGTCCTTCTGGCTTTCCCGGATGAGGCGGGGGACCTTGGGACTGGTTTCCTCCTTGTGGGGGTGGTCCTTCTGGCTTTCCCGGACGAGGCGGGGGACCTTGGGACTGGTTTCCTCCTTGTGGGGGTGGTCCTTCTGGCTTTCCCGGACGAGGCGGGGGACCTTGGGACTGGTTTCCTCCTTGTGGGGGTGGTCCTTCTGGCTTTCCCGGACGAGGTGGGGGACCTTGGGACTGGTTTCCTCCTTGTGGGGGTTGTCCTTCTGGCTTTCCCGGACGAGGTGGGGGACCTTGGGACTGGTTTCCTCCTTGTGGGGGTGGTCCTTCTGGCTTTCCTGGACGAGGTGGGGGACCTTGGGACTGGTTGCCTCCTTGTGGGGGTCGTCCTTCTGGCTTTCCTGGAGGAGGTGGGGTACGTTGGGGCTGGTTTCCTCCTTGTGGGCGTCGTCCTTCTGGCTTTCCTGGAGGAGGTGGACACACGGCATTCACTGAATAGTTGCCGCAAATTTTTACAGTAACGCAGCTAAATGGGGAAATGCACAAAAATAAGACCCAGACACTAATTTCTTTGCATTTTCAGTGAAGCTCTAGAACTCTGGAGTGGAATGCTGGAGAAGAAGGAAGCAGTTGAGGGGCTCTCAGTCTAAGGAGGAGTCAGAATAAGGACACTGGCCATTTGTCTGTCATCTCCCAGCAGGCACTCCTGGCAGGAGGGAAGTCAACCCACTCCCGTTTTCATCTAAGCCAAGCATCTCTGCCATTCAATTTGGTGGCCCTGCTCATGGTCCCCAAAATCAAGGTTGCATGAAGATTGCCTGCATTATTAGGGGGACTAATATTAATCAATTTCTAAAGGAAAATGTTGGTGAGAAGACACTGGAGAACTGATCCATTCATAAGCAGAAGAAGATAGTTAAAACAGATTGAGAGTGAATTGGGATTTACCTGATATTACGGAGGGAGATTCTTCCTGGCTGACATCTAGAAGAGAAGCACAGGATGATGGGAAAGGTTACATCTCGAATTTTGCAAGATTCACAGGTGTTCTACAGGGAAAGGGGACTTCTCACCACACCCCATGCATCCCCTAGGTTAGCTCATCAGCTACCATCTGTGAAGCTGCTGGAAGGGGAGGAAGGTGTAAGGGGAGGCAGGGTTGTTACCACACAGAGCAACAGCCATGAACTCAATATAGAAGAGCCCCTTTTTTTCTTCCCTAGCATCCTTCAAGACTTAATGCTAATTTAGTTTACACATGCCAGGTACTTCAATGTGATATTTTGGTATTCTTATGCCCTCCATCTCCTATAAATACATTGCTTATATTCACAAGCTTTCTCAATTTCGGTAACCAGAAGTAATTGTTTCAATACAATCTTACCTATACCACTCCCAGCACATTGAAATACTGTGTGTAGGGGAAAGAAAAATCACAATGATTGAATCTGATATTTCTATATCTGTAGTTAGACACAGGCAAGTGTTTTATCCAGTTCTGTCTCTGCAGTATCTCTAATGTGTGTTTATCTCCATCATCAATGCTGATCCACTAGGTAGAGCAAGGCCACAATCATCCCTGTGTACTTACTGAGATCAGTTTAGGATCTTCACAGCTGGACTTTCCTGAATCTGCCTTGCATTCACCACTGCATCCTTCACAGCACAGTTCTATCTCTCTATAAATGCAAATCTTACCTTCTCATTCCCCTGGTACAAATTCTTTATTGGATTTTCATTGTACATTAAATAAATTAGAAGCCCTTGGTGTGGAATGAGGGCACAACAGGTCTCCTGATCCTAGGCATGAAACCTCTGCAGCCCCATCTGTGTTTTCATTCTCCTCTCTTCCCCATAATTACAACTATCACCTCCTAAGCCCCAAGCAGAGTCACCACATCTTCTCCTCCTTCTGTCTTACCTTCATTTAAGCTCTGAGCTGAGCTCAGGGCCAGCAGGGCCACCGACAGCAGAATCAGTAGCATCTTGCTGGAGGCTCTGGAGTCACTCCCAACTCTGTGCTGGGAGAACCATGGCAGCTCCCTTTATAAAGAGGAGCAGAACAGTGGCACCTTTGAGCTCCACACTGGGTGGGCCTCACCACCCCAGAGACTGGGTTCTGCTTTCCTTACTGCAGGTCAGGTGTATCCCTTATTTCTGTCTGGGACTCTAGCCCAGAGGAACAGGTTGGGTTGGATGTTGTTTGTACCTTATTTCTAAAAGGTACAACTATGACTTGAACAAAGGTTTTAAAGGAACTGTGTCCAAGCAATCAGCACGGTGTCATAATTGAACTTCAGACGTCATTAGAGTTTCAATCTTTTTGGTAAGACTATTGTCCACTTTCAACTTTGCTATTTATTTCTGTGTATGTGTGTGTGGGCAGTGAAGCTACAGCCAGCGGTGATGATGATCAATATCTCTGGCTGTTTTTATAGCCTATTTCCATCTCTCGTGATGTGTGTGTACAGAGAGTATCACATTTAGCTTAACTTTTGATGCGATAGAGATAGTTTCTGCTATCTGGGAGATGTTTGAGGACAGCACACTCCTGGGCACACAGATGACAGAAGGCTGCCTCACAGCCTACTCAGGCTACAGCTATTGTTCATGCTTCTGTGGATCTCACTCAAGTCAGGAAAGGCTTCTTGTTGTGAAACACAGGAAGGCCAAAATTGTGTATTTTAAAGTATCTTTAGGGGTTATGAATGCAAAATGGACACACAAACCACGAGGAAATTTCTAGACCTGAGAAAACTGAATATATAGTTCCTTGCAGGAACCATGCAATATCATGTTGCCAAAACTTCCTTCATGCTCTTCCCTTTCTCTAGAATATTCTACAAAATTCACCCTCTGCTTCATTTCTTTTAAGAATTGTATTGAATTCCTACCTCTGATAATTAAGTGGCTACAATTCTACATTCAAATAAGGTAATCAGATACCCTCATTAAAGCCTCAATTGCATTGTATTGGTTTTCTTGGTTTAGTCAGTATTTGTGTTACCTGTTTTCTCAGATTGTTCTTCCACAAAGAGTATTTTTTCTACAATATTCTGATATGCATTCCTCCCTGACGTTCTTTCTGGTACTTCTTTGTTCATATTTTATTTTCTGAGTCAAGCTCATTTTGTGTAATTTTCTTTATATATCTGGCTTTTTTCCCCAGGAATTTGGTAAGATTTCCTTTATTTAATCTTCTAAGTAATAAGCTATAATTCTCACCACCTTTGTTTCATTCTTGTCTGTGTAATTTCACAATAAATGTTGTGTTTCCAAAAAGCCCTCTCAGAGTCCTGCATTGTTAGCACTTCTTTTAGCTGCTGATTCTTCTGTTATACCTAGTAAATCCCTGCTCATCAGTTCATGGAATATACAGGTTAGTCAGTGAGTCAGCTGCCATTTACCACTTAGACCTTCTGTGTGTCTTGTGTAATTGTTCACATTTTGTGCATGGCTGGTATTAATTTGAGGACAGCTTGGCTGGAGGTATGATGGAGGTAGAGAGGGTATGTGACAGTAAATCCTAAAGACAGACCTCTTGACCATTGTGGATGAGTGGATCCTGGACTGTGCAGATGAGGGTCTGGTCTGGCCCTTCTGAAGAGTTGGGGGTAATAGTACAGGAAGACTTCCTAATACAGAAGGCTTTGCTACAGATAACTTTGCCCTTGCAAGGGAACCAGGAAGATTGATATTTTCCCTGGCAAAAATATAGACATACTTGAAAGGGGAATATATTATTAATTGGAAATTATTTCTGGCTCTATGGAAAGTGGACTGGTTCTAGCTAGTCTTCATGAGTTTTATCTTAGGCAGAGAGTACTTGCTTGTGCCAGCAGGTCCCATTATATTATTGAGATTTCTATCTCTGGTCTCCTCCATAGGAACTGGAGATGACCAATCCTGCCTAGGTGTCTTAAGTTAGACCATCAGGTAACAAAGGAATGTCAGAAACAAGGAGCAGCAGAGAGGCCAGGCCAACATTGCCTGATGTTGTCGCCAACTTAGGTTGCTGCAGGCCTGATACAAGAAAGATTTGTCCTTGGCAGGAGAGTAGAGGAAGACAACAGAAATGCCCCTAAAAGTCCCTTATCTCAGGCCCTTTCCCTGACTTTCTCCAATGTCAGCAATGAGTAAAGTGTATCAGGAAAGCATAAATATCAGCTATGCACTAACCAGACAAAACAAAAACAGAAGTGATGGAAATGTGGAAAGGGACACTGTCTGTGAGTGAGGGTGGGTGGAAGAGAGGAGCAGGACTGCAGCAGGAGATTGGGCATCTAGAGGTGAGTGGCAGCCCTCAGCACTCCACTTGCCTTCTAATATCCATGTTCATATTCTGAGGCCCTGAAGGAACAGTCTTCAACATATGAAATTTTAGGAAACACAATTCAGCTCTCATAACAACTCCCAACCTTTTCTAAGTCACTAACAGGTGTTCAGTGGTTCAAAAATCCTCACTCCCTTCAGGCACTGTCCTTTAGCAAATTGAGTTGCCTCCACTTTCAACACTCATCCCAAATAAAACCACTTGCATAATCTTTACTAGAAGGTGATAGTTCAGGCCACGATGCACTCTCCTGAAGAGCTTAATATCCTCAGCTGCTCTTGGTAACATTCCTACCCCAGCATTAGCTCTCTCACACCCACACATCTCTCTCTTTTTGAAGACTGGGAAGTTCTGTGAACGGAACAGAAAGCAGAATTTTCCTCAACTTACTGTGCTCATTGCATAAACCAGCCATTCTAATAATACGGTTGTGTGTGAGAATTCAGATTTGCTTGGAATTGTCTAAAAGCTTCGGTTACACTGATGTAATTGTCATCTTTATATTATATTATATTATATTATACTATATATTATATGATAACATAATATATATTATGTGATGGTCATCTTTATATTTTTATTTGATGTTGATGCTCTCTAAATATATATTTCACAATTATTTGAGCATATTTATATTCTTTCCATTTATCCTAGCAAAGGCTGATTATAATAGAAAACACTTCTTCAGCATTTACTATGATATTCAGTCTTCAGAACTATCATATTAGGGAGGTGTGATTATTATTATTATCTTAATTTTGTAGATGAGGTGATTTAGGTGCGTGCCTAGGTTCATGTAAAGGTAGTGAGTGGAATGGAAGGGAGTCAGTTCTCAGATCTGAGTTCTTGCCTACTGTGCTTCACTGGTTACTTGGTCTTCATTCATTCATTTCTTTACAAGAAAGTGAAAGGAAATGAGATTCAGAGAAGAAAAACAAGTTTCTCTTAGAATATTTTCAAGGTTAAATTTTCCTGAGACTTTAACAGCTGAGGTGAGAAAAAATATATTTTCCTGAGTAAACATGTTTGTTTGAAATCGTAATCACATTTAAAATGTCTTCTAGTATTCTGCTTTACCCCTTGCATTTATATAAAGATACTCAGGGGAATTAATTCCTTTTTTTCCTAGTTACAAAACTCTGTCAATGTAGATCCTGTATGTACTTCCTTAATCCATGCTACATGCATTTTTCTTGGGTAGCATATTAGCATTGGCAAAATTTGTGTATGCCCTTTTAAATTGACTAAATTTGATCCTTCTAATCACAATGGAATTAACATTCTAGAAATCCAAGAGGGAGTCTGATCAGAGAGTTGTCTAAGAAAGGATAAATTGTACACCGCTTACACAGCTTTCATATTCTGCATGAAGATGTCGCCTGTGTCCTGGCCCCAGAGCTGGTGTACCATCCTGAGTGGTTGGGGCTGTAGAAGGCATTGGTCATCAGCCTAAGGTCAAGTGTCTGTAGCCTCAGCTCACCACTGTTATCTCAATGTCAGAGTGTATTCTTGACCTTTCAGTTACACTTCCTAGCAGTTCATAGAGAAGTACAATCACAACTTATCTCATAAGAAATACAAAGCAATGTATATCACCCTCGTATTTTCCTGATGATGTACCAAGTCGGTAAGCTGATACATTTAAGAGGAATTTCATTAAAGTGATTAATCAATGACTCACTTATTAAACAGATAAACCTGTACCTATTTCTTACAAAAGACGTTTTCTCTTCTGCTTAAAAACCACAAATTATTATTTTATTTCATTGATATTGAAATCCACATGTATGCATATTTTTCATCTTGGGAATTGGAATGTGTGGCACATTGTGTTTTTAAAAGTTGATCACGACAGAATCATTCATCTAATGTTTTCTTACAATGGTACCTTGACATCCTCTCTTGAAGGGGTGAGGTCTGTTTTTACCCCCTTGAGCTTCGTTAGAACTTCGTTACTGCCATGACCAATAGATTATATCAGAAGTGATACTTTATGACTTTTGAGTCTAGATCATAGAAATGCCATGCAATTCCAAACTGTTCTTTATGGAACCTGCCACATGCTGCGAGGAAGCCCATGCTGTGAGACAGGGATAGAACATTCATTTTAAAAATGATTGGATACAAAATTATCGCTAAACAATATTCAATAAACAAGTTTGTTTCAGTGACCCAATTCCTACCTATACCACATATTATATTTCTACACATGCATGGCTACATAGCTAAAGATTTATGGATTATTCCTATCTACCTTGCATAGTGATGTTTCAGATGCCTTAGCTCTTCTAGTACTTACAATAGCACTTTGAGGATTTTTTGCATTTATGTTCACTTTTCAAAGGTAGAAATAAAATCTTAATATGATTGAATGACTTTCCCTTGGACATACACTTCATAGGTAACAGCATAATGCAATGCAAGGAGAGCGACAGAGTGAGAGAGAGAGAGAGAGAGAGAGAGAGAGAAATGAGAAAATGACCTTATTCATGAAAACAATATAAAATACCTAGGAACAAAGAGCAAGAAATGCACAGAATTCAGCTGAAGAAGAATGATCAAACTTTAATGCAGAATATGCACTAAAATGTATATACATGTAAATTTGTAGGGACATGGATGAAGCTGGAAACCATCATTCTCAGCAAACTATCGCAAGGACAAAAAACCAAACACCACACGTTCTCACTCGTAGGTGGGAATTGAACAATGAGAACACTTGGACACAGGAAGGGGAACATCACACACCGGGGCCTGTTGTGTGGTGGAGGGAGGGGGGAGGGATAGTATTAGGAGAAATACCTAATGTAAATGATGAGTTAATGGGTGCAGCACACCAACATGGCACATGTATACATATATAACAAACCTGCACGTTCTGCACATCTATCCTAGAAATTAAAGTATAATAAAACATATATATATTTAAAATAAAAATAAAAAGTAAAATCTTAATGTGATCGAGTGATTTTCCCTAAGACATACACTTCACAGGGAACAGCATAAGACAATGCAAGGAAAGAGACAGAGAGACACAGAGAGAGAGAGAGAGAGAAATGAGAGAATGACCTTATTCATGAGAACAATATAAAATACCTAAGATCAAATAGCAAGAAATGCACAGGATTCAGTTGAAGAAGAATGATCAAACTTTGATGCAGAATATGCACTGAAATGTATATACATGTAAATTTTTGCACAGGAAATTGCAATATTCAAATAGGACTAATTTTCCAGGTGTTCTGGTGAAAATTGCACCACAGTCCCCTCTTCATGTCTGATTTCAGCTTTGCTCATTCACAAACTCTTATTTTTCTATTTGTCATTCCATTTCCACAGTTTTGTTGTTTATTGTCATCTCTTCTTTCATTCTCTTCATCCTTGGGTATTAATTTCCTCTGTGCTTCTTTATTTTAATTTTACTGGGACATTAGGAAAGAGCAGAAATCAGTCCATGTTTATGTGTTCAATGCATTGTGCATTCCAATACCCTTAGTAGAGAGACAAATTCCTTATCACAGTCTATAGCAGGTTCTACAGATGATCTTTCTGTTTATGTCTCTTTCTATTTAAGTGTATTCAAGTGACTTTACAAGGCAGACTGCTATTACCTGTGTTCCTAATTTTATCGGAAGAATCTGCTGCTGTCTTTTCTTCCCTGGCTGCATTAGATGTAACAGGACCATGAGTTGATAATCACATGGTTATTTTTTACAATGTTATTGAATAAACATCTAGCAACAATTTTAAATGATGAATACATTTTTATACTCTAATAGTCTAACAAATATAATTTTTTAATAACAAATGTCCATTGTTTCAAGTCTGTTACTTATCCACCTTTAGAACTGCCAAAGCAAATCTCTCCATACTATTAAAAGAATCTTTTGTGCCTTTTAGTAAGCAGACATCATCAGAAACAGAAGTTTATGATATGATACATAAAGAGTTTGAATTTATCTCACATTTTTACTAACCTTATTTTTTAGCTAAACTTGGTCTATATTCACATTTTCTTGACTGAAATATGCCTTTGTACATTTTTATTGAGCAATTAAAGGCTCATTTAACCAGTCATCCTAACAACATGGACATATGGCTTTTGTCAGATTGGAATGATCTACAAAGCTTATGAGGCTTGACCTTTGGGGTCTTTCATGTGCACAGGCCCTTTTCAAGACCCTGTTTTGAGTGAACAGAATAAAAAGAGATGTAAAAGCTTCAGGAACTAGCAGTGGTCTTCTTTATGCCAACTCCTTTACTCAAGCCTTTATGTATTTTTCTGTCTTCCACTGACCCATGGGGACCATAAGATTTCAAGAACTTCTCCTCCCTAAAACAAACTCCAATCATTTGAGGGATATCTGATTTTTTTTCTGAAAAGAAGACTTGAGAATACCTATAGAAGCAAGTTTCTAAATAATCTGATTTTTATGTCTACAAATAATAGCTATCTTCCAGCACTGCTGTAAATGTAATGTGGGATTGCAGATTGTACATGGAAGAATCTGAAAAATGTACTTTAGTGGCTAAACTGAAGGGCCTATTGATATGAGGTATGGCTTTAAATTCTTGCTCTTCTACTAGTTTTTCCTCTGCAGAACATACTCCCTGCAGAATGGTGCCTTCCCTTAGTATTTGTAGTGTTTCTACCTCTCAGCATGGAACAAATGGTCAATGTTAGCAATGGGTTCTTTCCTTTACAACTCACGATGTGGTAAGGAAAATTCTCATGTTTGTTTCTGTCTTTTCACCTTTGCATTCATAATATAATCATCTTAAATACATATCTACAGGCACTTAGCACCACAGTAAGTTTTATAATTTTTGCTTCAACACAAATGTATTGTCTTTCAGTTTTGCAGCTCAGAAATCAGTACTGGGTCTCACTGGGTTGAGTCCATGTGTCATGGATGGAATTCCTTTCTGGAGGTTCTAGAGAAGAATCTCATTTTCTTGCCACATTACCTGTCTTTCTTCCATCTTCAAAGCTAGCAATACCAGTTGAGCCTTTTGAAACTCATGCAGAAAACTTGAGAAGAAAAGGAAGATATTTTTGTTAATTTACTTTTTTCTCACTTTGTTTCTTTTATTCTACATTCTTGAATTTCCAGAAATTCCTTTTCTATCCTTTCTTTTAGTTGAGAAAGTTCCATCGAGCCATTTTTAAAAGATTAGTTTGTTGGAAACAAATTCTTTTAGGTTTCCTTCTTTTCTTTCTTCTGAGAATACCTGAATTTCCTTTTTATTATGGAAGGACAGTTTTATTGGACATAAACATCTGGTTTGCAATTTTTTTTCCTTCAGCACTTTAAATATTTGAGTTACATTCTTCTTCATTTCCTGGTTTCTGATATTAACTCTATGGTTATCCACATTGTGTTTTTCCTATAATTATGATGCCATTTCTTGCTTGCTTTTTAAAAAATATTTTATTTGTTTTATTTTTCAGAAATTTGACTATGGTGTTGCTGGGCATGTGTTTCCTTGTGTATATTATGATTGGAATTTTCCCACCTTCTTGCATTTGTAAGTCTATGTCCTTTGCAAGTGTGAGCATTTTTTGGCCATTATTTCTCTAAGTCCTTTTTTAATATCATCCTCATTGTTCTGTTTTCTGAAATTCAGATTGCATGATTGTCGCATCATTTGTTGTGGCCTTTCATATTTGTGAAACTATGTTAAATTTTTTCAATTGTTTTACCCTGTGTTGTTCAGAGTATAGAATTTCTATTATTGCAACCCCTAAACACTGACTGAGTCTTTCCTCAATCATTTGCTTTCTGATAATTTTCACAGCCAATATGGTTTTTTCTTAATTTTAGACATTATATATGTCAGTTCTGAAATTTCTATTTTATAATATTTTATAGTTCCTTTTTCTGCTGAGAAGTTTTTTCCCATTCTTTTCTGCTGAGAAGTTATTTCCCTCTTTATTTTGGAAATGTTCACATTTACCTCAGAAAAGATGGCTATAAGAGCTGCTTTAAAGTCTGATCATTTCCATATCCAAGTTGTTTCAAGGTTGTCATCCCTTGGTTGCATGCTTCATGAAGAATTGGTCAATTGTTTACGGTTTGTAAAAGTATATTGAGTAGTTTTCTATTGTATTCCTCAGATAGGCATTTTCTCAGTTTACAATACATGAAAAGTTCAATAAGGCAAGCTTTGGACATTGAAGGGTGCAGGCACTCAGGCTGCATTGTGATCCACCTACTGGCTCCACTGGCAGATGGGTTAGTCCCACTGACATTATTCTACTTGGAGCTTCTACGTGGATGATTCCCCTTGGCTCTTATGAGATAAAAGCATAAGTATTTCACATAATACACACTTATAAAATTAAAAACAATAGAAAAGTGCACTGAATGAGTCCCAAGAGCCCTATCCACAACATCTTCCTAACTTTTCATCTTTTGTAACCCATTTGCTCAAAGCTCAATTGAACTCAAGCACTTCTTTTTTCTTTTGCCCTACAGGAACCGCAGAGTTTAACATTTGTTTCTTAGATGCTATCCCCGTAGCCAGGCAGCCCTGCTGTCTTCTGACTGGGGATTTACAGAATGCAGGAAAATGAGGCAGAGGTAGAAAGAGTGACTATACACCTAGCATGCTGGCTCATGACTGTAATCCCACTACTTTTGGAGGCTGAGGTTGGAGGACTATTGATGCCAGGAATTCAAGATCAGCCTGAGCAATGCAGTGAGACGTCCCCATGTATATAAGAAAATGTACAAAATCAACCTTGCATGGTGATTGGCACCTGTAGTCCCATCTAATTCAGAAGGTGATCTGGAAGAATTGTTTGATCCCAGGAGTTCAAGACTGCAGTGAGCCATGATTGCACCACTGTACTCCAGCTTAAGAGACAGAGCAAGTCCCTGTCTCTAAAAAGAAATAATACTAATAATAACATTAATAATAATAAATGACTGCTGCAACTGAAAAGGTTTTTTTCCCCCACCTTGGCTTCTAGCCCCAGGGTCTACTTCCTTTCAAATGCATCTCCAATGTCTATGGATTCTACAGACTTGCAGTCTCTTCCTTTCTTTCCCCTCATGTGCCACTGTGGCTCTATCCTGTATCCTCAGCAAGCCTTCCCACACTCCGACAAAATCAAGTACAATGGTGAACTGAGCAAGTATGGGCAATAGAGCTATAAATATTTATGTTTCTACCCTCCTTGATATTTTTACAATATTTGGAGATGGGTATGTAGGGCCTTTAGTCCTTCTTGGGCCAGGGTCATCTCAGCCTTAAAGGAACTGAAATCAGAGTAGAGGAAAAGAAGTGATAAGACAGATGTGAACAAAGCATCTTCATGCAAGTAAGCAAGATACATTTACTGGCTAATTCAAGCATTGTAACCGCAGCCTAAGACTCAAATGAATAAACACTGAATTTGAAGTCCCCCCAAAGGTGTGCAACAGCTTTGGGGGATTTTTAACACTTTACCTCCTGTTATCTGTGGAATGGAGCAAAAACTAAGTGTTACATGGGAAGTTGGTTTCAATTATACCACCTGGTACTCAGTTTACAACCATTTCCTAATCCTACTTCTTAATGAGCTATATAAAAGGAAAAGATTTATTGACCACTTGTCATACATTTTGGTCAATGTGCCAGCTATTGATATGTGTTTTTTACATTATTAACTGAAGAAAAATGAATGCCTTTTACAAATGTTATAAGATTACAAAACAAAAAGAAATCCAAAGGAAACAAATTAGGGTTGTAATGTGCAAGCCTAATGATTTTCCATCAGAACTCTCATATAATTGCCCTGTTTGATAAGATAAATGAGCAGGAGCAAGGTTGTGGTGAAGGACTCTGCTGAAGCTTTCCCAGGGATTCCTATACTAAAGCTTTGGCTTTCTCAAAGTATTCTCAGAATAAGCAGTTATTGTCATTCTCCAGAAAGTCAACCAGCAAAATGACTTGAGCTTTCCAATAAACTCTTGCCATGACCTTTGTGCTCTCCTCATCCACTTTTGTTTTGACTGGACTTTTCCACTTCTTGGTAGCCATTGCATTGATTGTATTTGTTTTCAGGATTTTACTGGTAAAGCCATGCGTTATCTCCTCTTATAATTCCTTGAAGAAATGCTTACAGTCTTCATTGCTCCTATTTAAATTTTTTAGGGAAACTTCTGCTCTTGTCTGTACTTCATCTTGGTGACACAGTTTGGGCATCCATCAAGTGAAAAGTTTACTAAACTTTAATCATTCAGTTAGAATCATGTAAACTGAACCAACTGAGAAGTCTGCAATGTTGGCTATTGTGTGAACTGCTAATCATCACACATCTTCTCCTGGGTATAAAGAAGATGAATTTATTCCTTGCAATATGATGTGAATCATCTGTCACTGTAGACTTTAGGTTCAACATTGCCTCATTCCTTCCTGAAATGAGGAACTCCTCATTGAATTTGTGAACTGCTGACTTCTTCAACCAATGTCAACTTACCATGTGCCAAGTAGGACAACTTTTTGGACACCATCAATGATTTCATCTTCTTCCACCCAAGCTTCACCATAAATTTGATGTTTTTACTCACTTTACTTTTAGAAGAATTCATGTTGCTCTTCTAGGAGCTCTTTTGAAACTGCTCTCTTATTTTTCTTGATGCCTCAAACTAGCTCGTGTTCAGACATGTTATAGCAAAACATTATGATTTCATTTTGGTGCCAAAAAACTTGGAATCCATTCATGGTATTTCTTAATAGAATATACATTTTCCATTAACATTTTAACAACCCACTGCATATAGGAAGGCGTCCTGATACAACAAGCTCTACTACAGGTAACTTAGACTTTTCCAGCTGACTAGGCAGATTGGTTTCTTGTTTTTCTCCTAGCATAAATAGGAATGTTTTCTGAAGGTGGAATATAATACCAATGGCCAAATTTTCTCCAGCTACATGGAAAGTTTAACATTTGTAAGTAAGAGTCACATGCTTTAATAGAGACACAGAGTGCTTGGGCCAACCTGGTGTCCTGATCTTATTGAATGATTTTCTCTGGTTTCACCAAACATTATTTGGAAAGATAAGCTGGCGATGAGCAGTCTGGCCTAGGTAGCTTACGATGGCCCATCAGGTAGGGAAGAAACACAAGAGAGAAGAAGCAGAGAGGAGTGCCAGGCAGATGTGCCTCCTTGTGGGAGTCAATAGTCCTGGTTGGAGGCAGGCTTCTTTTTGTCTACTGAGTACAGCAAGCCAAGAGGTGATGCTTCCAAATATCACTCTGCTCACACCCTATTCATGACCTTCTCCTATGTCAGAAATGCATGAAAGAGATTAGCATATCAGGAAGGAGTAAATATCAGGTATCAAGCTACCAGAGACAACCAAAACAGAGGTTACCAAAGAACTGAAGGAGACAGTGTCACTTAGGATGAGGTCAAAGCAAGGAGCAGGACTGCAACAGGAGCTTAGGCACTTGTCCATGAGTCAAGGACCTCAGTAATCCACTTGCCATTTAAAACAAATGTAAATTTACCATGTGCCAAGCAGGACTCTTGATTTCTACTCCTAAAACCTGCTCTCCCCTGAATTTCTTCATCATAGCCGTCAAAACAAAATATCACAGACTAGGTATTCTTAAGCAATAGAAATTACTTTCCAACACTTCTGGATGCTCAAGTTCCATGAGGAAGGTGTCAGCAGGTTTAGTTCTTCTGGGCTGTGTCTGCTTGGCATCTAGGTATCTGCCTTCTTGCTGTGTCCTTCCATGGATGTGTATGTACTTCCTGTGTCTCTCTCTACAAATTTCCAGTTCTTATAAGGAATTTCCACTTCTTATAAGGACAGCAATCTTATTGGATTTAGTTCCACTGAAACTCCATCATTTCAGCTTGATAACCTCTTCCTAGGGCTGTTTTCTAAACACAATCATATTCTAAGGGACAAGAAGTTGGTTGTGGATTTTTGTATACCTATGCCTATCATATTTTGCTAAATATTTGATTATATAGAGATTATTTCTTTGGAACTTTGAGCTGTGTGAAGACAACACAAACCTGGCCATTCATGGCTGACAGAAGGTTGGCCCTCAGCCTGGTCAGACCCACACAGATTGTCTAATATTCTTTGATCTGGCTCTAGTCAGAAAAGTCTTGGTGTTGTAGAATACAGGTGTCTTCACGCATTGTATTATTAATATTCATGGGGAGGTTAAAACAAAGTTGGCCCCGAAAACTACCAAGGGGTTCTAGAATGAACAGAATGAATACACAGTTCTTAAAGGGGACATCCTATTTTGTCTTTAAATTTTTTTCCTTGCTCTACCCCTTTGTTAGAATGTTTGATCAGATTCAGTTTGGGATTTACATCTTTTAGGAAATTTTGTTTTTTAATATAGATTCTCGCTCTGTCACCCAGGCTGGAGTGTGGTGTCATGATCCTGGCTTACAGCATCCTTGAACTCCTGTGCTCAGGGGATTCCCCCCGCTTCTGCCTCTTGAGTGGCTTGAATTACAGGTTCATGACACCATGTCCGTTTATTTTTTGTTTGTTTGTTTTAAACTTTTCTTGAAGAGATGGAGCCTCACTTTGCTCAGGCTGGCCTTTTTTTTTTTTTTTTTTTTTTTTTGGAGACGGAGTCTCACTCTGTCCCAGGCTGGAGTGCAGTGGCGCAATCTCTGCTCACTGTAAGCTCCGCCTCCTGGGTTCACGCCATTCTCCTGCCTCAGCCTCCTTAGTAGCTGAGACTACAGGCGCCCACCACCACGCCCGGCTAATTTGGTTTTGTATTTCTAATAGAAACGGGGTTTCACTGTGTTAGCCAGGATGGTCTCGATCTCCTGATCTCATGATCTGCCCGCCTCGGCCTCCCAAAGTGCTGGGATTACAGGCATGAGCCACCGTGTCCGGCCTGGTCTTGAACTTCTGGCCTCAAGGGATCCTCACACCTCACTCTTCCAAAGTCCTGCGATTATAGGCATCAGTTGCCACATTCAGCCTTTCTTCTAGGAAAAATTTTTAATCACTCCCAATTAAAATGCGTGGTCACAATTATATGCTTAAATAAGATGGTCTGGCACCCACATAAAAGCCTCAAGAGTATTGCATTGATCTATTTCTTAGAGCCTGTGATATCTGTCTCCCAGACTGTTCTTTCACACAGAAATTTTTTTCATTTTTGCAATATTCTGAAACTAATTTCTTCCCAGTCTCTTTCTAAAATGTATTTATTGAAATTTTGTGTTCTAAATCAATCTTGCCTGTGTTTACTTTTCATCTTATATCTGACTTCTTTTTAAATGAAATTTGGGAAAATTTTTAAATCTAATCTTCTAAGTAACCATCTATATTTCTTGTTACTCCTTTATTTTTCTTTTTGTTTTTAAAATTTGCATCAATATACTGTGTTTCCAAGGTCTTTTTACTGAGGTTCTGTTGGTAGCTCTCTTTTCATCTGCTGACTTTTCTGTTATATCAAGTAGTTCCTGCCCATCCTTTCATCCTTTTCATGGAAAGCGTAGGTGAGTCAGTATCAACAGCTGCCACTTATCATTTCAGGCTTTGAATAAGTCTCGTGCTGTCATTCAGTTTTTGTTCAGGGATAGTGATAACTTCGGGATGGCCATGTTAGAAGTAATGAGTAGGGGGATGTGACTGGAAATCCTAAAGACAAACTGCTTGATCAGTTGGATGAGGGGATCCTGTGTTGTACACATAAGAATCTGTTCCTGCCCTTCCAGAATGGTTTGAGAATAAAAGGGGATTTCAAAAAGTTTGTGGAAGAATATAATTACAATATGAAAGTAGACATTATGTAAACTTTATTTCTTAACGTAAGCTCCATCACATTCAAGAAGTTTAGCAAGTAATGATACAAGTAATTTAGCCTATCTATAAAAATTGACGATCCTGAAATTAGTTTCAGAATGCAGTCTTTTCACATCATTAACTGAAGAAAACAGAGTACACTTTAAAAATATTTCAATATTAGAAAAAAAATCTGAAGTCCAAAGATACTGCATCAGAACTGTAAGTTGGGTGCCTAGGGATTTTCTTTTTTTTTTTTTTCTTTTTTGTTTTATTTACATAGCTTGGGGAACAGGTGGTGTTTGGTTATGTGAATCAGTTCTGCAGTGGTGATTTGTGAGATTTTGGTGCACCCATCATCCGGGCAGTATACACTGCACCCAGTGTATAAGAGAGAGGTAAAAGTGACGTCTTTTACCCCTCTCCCCTTTCCCACTCTTTCCCCCTGAGTTCCCAAAGTCCATTGTGTCATTCTTATGCCTTCGCATTCTCATAGTTTAGCTCCGATTCATGAGTGAGAACATGCGATGTTGGCTTTTCCATTCCTAAGTTGCTTGACTTAGAATGATAACATCAACTTATGAGAGAGTATGGAGTAAGTTAGCCAAAACTTTAGCAGGGAAATGCCCGGAAAAGCTTTAGCAGAGAGTTCTTATCCATCACAACAATGCTCCTGCTCATTTCTCTCATGAAACAAGGGCAATTTTGCCAGACTTATGAGGGACATTCACTAGGCATCCAATCTCATCCATTTATCTGCTAAAGATTTGGCTAACTTTCTCCAAACTCCAAACTTATAAGCTGATGTCGTCATCTTTGACCCTCCAGAAAGTTAACAAACAAAATACCTCGAACATCCAAAAATACCGTTGACATGATGTTTGCTCTTGTCGCATTTATTTAGACTAGACCACTTCCACCTCTTGGTAGCCATTGCTTTGATTGTGTTTTTCCTTTAGGATGGCACTGGTAAAGCCATGTTTGATTTCCTGTTACAACTCTCCAAAGAAATGCTTTAGGATCTTTTCTTTTCTTTTCTTCTACTTCCTACTTCTTTAATTTTTCATTGAACCTTCTGTTCTTCTCTGTAGCTGACTCAGGTACAGCAGTTTTGGCCATCATCAAGTCGATAGTTTGCTCAACTTTAATTTTTCAGCCAGAAAAAAATTTATGTAATCTGAACCAATTGACAGTCTTCTTGTGCTAGCCCTTTTTTCTGCTGTTAACTGTGAGGTCTCTTCAATTGGAATAAAAGAAGATAAAATTTTTGCCCATAAGTTGCTGTGTATGGTCTGCTGCTGCAGAGTTCATCTTCACCATCATCTAGTCAATTCTTAAAAGGAGTTATCCATTTGTGAAGGGCTGATTTACTTGGGCACAAATATTTCATGATGCATCAGTGATTTCACCATCCCTCCGCCCAAGCTGCATCATAAACTTGATATTTGTTCTTGATACAATTTTAGTAGAATATTTGTTGATCTGATAGAAGTTGTTTTCAAACTGCTGTCTCAACCATGTTAGTGACTGAACTATATCCTTTTCAGACATGTTGTAACAAGTTAGTAAAAATGTATTTTGGTATGAAAAATGTTTGTATCCCTGCATAATTTTAAAAAATAATATATATTTTCCACAAACAGTTTGAAGATGCCTTATATTACTGGAAGTTGTCCTCATACAATGAAGTTTGTTGCTGATTACTCTGCCATTGGCTGGTGATCAGGCAGATTGTTGTTTTCCTCCCTCACCCCTTCTGGAATATTAGGGATGTTTGCTAAGAGGAAATATATTACCAGTTAGCAATTCTTCTTTGGCTATGCAATAATAAAACAATTGTAGCTTGGCTTTATGTGCTTTATGGGAGGCACAGAATAGTTGCCTGGCCTAGCAGGTACCCTAATGTTATTGGGATGAGTGTCACTACATTCCACACACACTAATTGGACAGGGAAACTGGAGATGAATGTTCCTGCTTAGTGACTTATGCTGGACCTTCTAAGTAGGAAAGGAAGATCAGAGGGCAGGCACAGAGGGAAGTGCCATGCAGACTTGCCTCGTTGCATAGGTTCCTGTAGAAGTGATAGTCCTGGTGAAAGAAAGGCTCCCCCTTGTCTTGGTGAATACAGGAAGACAGCAAGCATTGCCTTCAAATATCACTCAGCTCACGCCCTTTCCCTGACATTTTCCAATGTCAGCAATGAGTGAAAAAGATTAGTGTATTAGAGAAGAATAAAAATCAGCTATGAACTCTCCAGACACAAATAAAACAGAGGTGACAGAAGAGCTGAAAGAGACCCTGTCAGTGAGTGAGGATGGGGTCAAAGTGAGGAGCAGGACTGCAACAGGAGCTCAGGCACCTTTCTGTCAGTTGAAGCTCTCAACAATTTGCATCAATATACTGTGTTTCCAAGGTCTTTTGGGTTGGGAACCAACCCAAATGTCCATCAATGATAGACTGAATTAAGAACACGTGGCACATATACACCATGGAATACTGTGCAGTGATAAAAAACGATTAGTTCATGTCCTTTGTAGCGACATGGATGAAGCAGGAAACCATCATTCTGAGCAAACTATCACAAGGAAAGAAAACCAAACACCAAATGTTCTCACTCATAGGTGGGAATTGAACAATGAGAACACTTGGACACAGTGTGGGGAACATCACACACCAGGGCCTGTTGTGTGGTGGGGAGATGGGGGAGGGATAGCATTAGGAGAAATATCTAATGTAAATGATGAGTTAATGGGTGCAGCAAACCAACATGGCACAAGTATACATATGTAACAAACCTGCACATTGTGCAAATGTACCCTAGAACTTAAAGAATAATAAGAAAAAATAAAATAAAATAAAATTGACACCCTAACATCACAATTAAAAGAACTAGAGAAGCAAGAGCAAACAAATTCAAAAGCTAGCAGAAGACAAGAAATAACTAAGATCAGAGCAGAACTGAAGGAGATAGAGACATGAAAAACCCTTCAAAAAATCAATGAATCCAGTTGCTGGTTTTTTGAAAAGATTAACAAAATATATAGAGCACTAGCCAGACTAATAAAGAAGAAAAGAGAGAAGAATTAAATAGACACAATAAAAAATGATAAAGGGAATATTACCAGTGTCCCACTGATATACAAACTACCATCACAGAATACCATAAACACCTCTACACAAATAAACTAGAAAATCTAGAAGAAAAGGACAAATTCCTGGACACATTCACACTCCAGACACTAAGCCAGGAAGAAGTTGAATCGCTGAATAGACCAATAAAAAGTTCTGAAATTGAGGTAGTAATTAATAACCTACCAAGAAAAAAAGCCCAGGACCAGCTGGATTCACAGCCGAATTATACCAGAGGTACAAAGAGCTGCTGGTACCATTCCTTCTGAAAATATTCCATACAATAGAAAAAGAGGCACGCCTTCCTAACTCATTTTATGAGGCCAGCATCATCCTGACACCAAAACCTAGCAGAGACACAACAAAAAAAACAAAATTTTAGGCCAATATCCCTCATGAACATCAATGCGAAAATCCTCTATAAAATACTGGCTAACCGAATCCAGCAGCACATCAAAAACCTTATCCACCGTGATCAAGTCAGCTTCATCCCTGGGATGCAAGGCTGGTTGAACAAACAGAAATCAATAAATGTAATCCGTCAAGTAAACAGAACAAATGACAAAAAGCACATGATTATCTCAATAGATGCAGAAAAGGCCTCTGATGAAATTCAACACCCATTCATTCTAAACATAATAAACTAGGTATTGATGAAACATATCTCAAAATAATAAGACCTATTTATGAAAAACCCATAGCCAATATCATACAGAATGGGCAAAACTGGTAGCATTCCCTCTGAAAACCTGCACAAGACAAGAATGCCCTCTCTCACCACTCCTATTCAACATAGTATTGGAAGTTCTGGCCAGGGCAATTAGGAAAGAGAAAGAAATAAAGGTATTCAAATAGAAAGAGAGGAAGTCAAATTGTCTCTGTTTGCAGATGATATGATTGTATATTTAGAAAACACCATCATCTCAGCCCCAAAACTCCTTAAGCTAATAAGCAACTTCAGCAAAGTCTTAGGATACAAAATCAATGTACGAAAATCACAAGCATTCTTATACACCAATAACAGACAAACAGCCAAATCATGAGTGAACTCCCATTCACAATTGCTTCAAAGAGAATAAAATACCTAGGAATCCAACTTACAAGGGATGTGAAGGACCTCTACAAGGAGAACTACAAACCACTGCTCAAGGGAATCAGAGAGGACACAAACGAATGGAAAAACATTCCAGGCTCATGGATAGGAAGAATCAATATTGTGAAAATGGCCACAATGCTCAAAGTAATTTATAGATTCAACACTATTCCCATCAAACTACCATTGACTTTCTTCAGAGAATTAGAAAAAACTACTTTAAATTTCATATGGAACTAAAAAGAGCCCATATTGCCAAGACAATACTAAGCAAAAAGAACAAAGCTGGAGGCATCATGCAACCTGATTTCAAACTATACTACAAGGCTACAGTAACCAAAATGGCATGGTACTGGTACCAAAACAGATATATAGACCAATGGAACAGAACAGAGGCCTCAGAAATCACGCCACACATCTACAACCATCTGCTCTTTGACAAACCTGACAAAAACAAGCAATGGGGAATGGTTTCCCTATTTAATAAACGGTGTTTGGAAAACTGACTAGCCATATGCAGAAAACTGAAAATGTACCCCTTCCTTACACCTTACACAAAAATTAACTAATTGAAGAGGTCCTTCACATCCCTTGTAAGTTAGATTCCTAGGTAGTTTATTCTCTTTGAAGCAATTGTGAATGGGAGTTCATCATGATTTGGCTGTTTCTCTGTTGTTGGTATATAAGAATGCTTGTGATTTTTGCACATTGATTTTGTATCCTGAGACTTTGCTGAAGTTGCTTATCAGCTTAAGGAGATTTTGGGCTGAGACGATGGGGTTTTCTAGATATACAATAATGTCATCTGCAAACAGAGACAATTTGACTCCCTCTTTTCCTAATTGAATACACTTTCTTTCTTTCTCCTTTCTGATTGCCCTGGCCAGAACTTCCTCAACAAAATAAAAGAAGATACAAATGGAAGAAAACTCCATGCTCATGGATAGGAAGAATCAAAATCGTGAAAATGGCCATACTGCCCAAGGTAATTTACAGATTCAATGCCATCCCCATCAAGCTACCAATGACTTTCTTCACAGAATTGGAAAAAACTAATTTAAAGTTCATATGGAACCAAAAAAGAGCCTGCATTGCCAAGTCGATCCTAAGCCAAAAGAACAAAGCTAGAGGCATCAGGCTACCTGACTTCAAACTATACTACAAGGCTACAGTAACCAAAACAGCATGGTACTGGTACCAAACCAGAGATATAGACCAATGGGACAGAACAGAGCCCTCAGAAATAATACCACATGTCTACAACTATCTGATCTTTGACAAACCTGACAAAAACAAGAAATGGGGAAAGGATTCCCTATTTAACAAATGGTGCTGGGAAAACGGGCTAGCTATATGTAGAAAGCTGAAACTGGATCCCTTCCTTACACCTTTACACCTTATACAAAAATTAATTCAAGATGGATTAAAGACTTAAATGTTAAATCTAAAACCATAAAAACCCTAGAAGAAAACCTAGGCAATACCATCCAGGACATAGACATGGGCAAGGACTTCATGTCTAAAACACCAAAAGCAATGACAACAGAAGCAAAAATTGACAAATGGGATCTAATTAAACTAAAGAGATTCTGAGCAACAAAAGAAACTACCATCAGAGTGAGCAGATGCCACTCTGTAGCAACCTACAGAGGGGGAGAAAATTTTTGCAAGCTGCTCATCTGACAAAGGGCTAATATCCAGAATCTACAATGAACTCAGACAAATTTACAAGAAAAAAGCAAACAACCCCATCAACAAATGGGTGAAGGATATGAACAGACACTTCTCAAAAGAAGACATTTATGCAGCCAACAGACACAGGAAAAAATGCTCATCATCACTGGCCATCAGAGAAATGCAAATCAAAACCGCAATGAGATACTATCTCACACCAGTTAGAATGGCAATCATTAAAATGTCAGTAAAAGACAGGTGCTGGAGAGGAGGGGAGAAATAGGAACACTTTTACACTGTTGGTGAGAGTGTAAACTGGTTCAACCATTGTGGAAGACAGTGTGGTGATTCCTCAGGGATCTAGAGCTAGAAATACCATTTGACCCAGCCATCCCATTACTGGATATATACCCAAAGGATTATAAATCATGCTGCTATAAAGACACATGCATACGTATGTTTATTGCAGCACTATTCACAATAGCAAAGACCTGGAACCAACCCGAATGTCCAACAATGATAGACTGGATTAAGAAAATGTGGTGAGGCTGGAGCCAAGACGGCCAAATAGGAACAGCTCTGGTCTACAGCTCCCAGCATGAGCAACGCAGAAGATGGGTGATTTCTGCATTTCCATCTGAGGTACGTGGTTCATCTCACTAGGGAGTGCCAGACAGTGGGCGCAGGACAGTGGGTGCAGTGCACCGTGTGTGAGCTGAAGCAGGGCGAGGCATTGCCTCACTCAGGAAGCACAAGGGGTCAGGGAGTTCCCTTTCCTAGTCAAAGAAAGGGGTCACAGATGGCACCTGGAAAATCGGGTCACTCCCACCCCAATACTGCGCTTTTCCAACAGGATTAAAAAACGGTGCATCAGGAGATTATATCCTGCACCTGGCTCAGAGGGTTCTACGCCCACGGAGTCTCGATGATTGCTAGCACAGCAGTCTGAGATCAAACTGCAAAGCGGCAGAGAGGCTGGGGGAGGGGCGCCCGCCATTGCCCAGGCTTGCTTAGGTAAACAAAGCAGCCGGGAAGCTCGAACTGAGTGGAGCCCACCACAGCTCAAGGAGGCCTGCCTGCCTCTGTAGGTTCCACCTCTGGGGGCAGGGCACAGACAAAAAAAAAGACAGCAGTAACCTCTGCAGACTTAAATGTCCCTGTCTGACAGCTTTGAAGAGAGCAGTGGTTCTCCCAGCATGCAGCTGGAGATCTGAGAATGGGCAGACTGCCTCCTCAAGTGGGTCCCTGACCCCTGAACCCTGAGCAGCCTAAATGGGAGGCACCCCCTGGTAAGGGCAGACTGACACCTCACACAGCTGGGTACTCCTCTGAGACAAAACTTCCAGAGGAACGATCAGACAGCAGCATTCGCAGTTCACGAAACTCTGCTGTTCTGCAGCCACTGCAGCTGGTACCCAGGAAAACCAGGTCTGGAGTGGACCTCTAGCAAACTCCAACAGACCTGCAGCTGAGGGTCCTGTCTGTTAGAAGGAAAACTAACAAACAGAAAGGACATCCACACCAAAAACCCATCTGTACATCACCATCATCAAAGACCAAAACTAGATAAAACCACAAAGATGGGGAAAAAACAGAGCAGAAAAACTGGAAACTCTAAAAAGCAGAGTGCCTTTCCTCCTCCAAAGGAAAGCAGCTCCTCACCAGCAATAGAACAAAGCTGGACGCAGAATGACTTTGATGAGTTGAGAAAAAAAGGCTTCAGACGATCAAACTACTCCAAGCTACAGGAGGAAATTCAAACCAAAGGCAAAGAAGTTGAAAACTTTGAAAAAACTTTAGACGAATGTATAACTAGAATAACCAATACAAAGAAGTGCTTAAAGGAGCTGACGGAGCTGAAAGCCAAGGCTCAAGAACTACGTGAAGAATGCGGAAGCCTCAAGAGCTGATGCGATCAACTGGAAGAAAGGGTATCGTGATGGAAGATGAAATGAATGAAATGAAGCGAGAAGGGAACTTTAGAGAAAAAAGAATAAAAAGAAATGAACAAAGCCTCCAAGAAATATGGGACTATGTGAAAAGACCAAATCTACGTCTGATTGGTGTGCCTGAAAGTGACAGGGAGAATGGAACCAAGTTGGAAAACACTCTGCAGGATATTATCCAGGAGAACTTCCCCAATCTAGCAAGGCAGGCCAACATTCAGACTCAGGAAATACAGAGAATGCCACAAAGATACTCCTCGAGAAGAGCAACTCCAAGACACATAATTGTCAGATTCACCAAAGTTGAAATGAAGGAAAAAATGTTAAGGGCAGCCAGAGAGAAAGGTTGGGTTACCCACAAAGGGAAGCCCATCAGACTAACAGTGGATCTCCAGGCAGAAACTCTACAAGCCAGAAGAGAGTGGGGGCCAATATTCAACAATCTTAAAGAAAAGAATTTCAACCCAGAATTTCATATCCAGCCAAACTAAGCTTCATAAGTGAAACACAAATAAAATCCTCTAAAGACAAGCAAATGCTGATAGATTTTGTCACCACCAGGCCTGCCCTAAATGAGCTCCTGAAGGAAGCACTAAACATGGAAAGGAACAACCGGTACCAGCCACTGCAAAATCATGCCAAATTGTAAAGACCATCAAGGCTAGGAAGAAACTGCATCAACTAACAAGCAAAACAACCAGCTAACATCATAATGGCAGGATCAAATTCACACATAACAATATTAACTTTAAATATAAATGGACTAAATGCTCCAATTAAAAGACACAGACTGGCAAATTGGATAAAAAGTCAAGACCCATCAGTGTGCTGTATTCAGGAAACACATCTCACGTGCAGAGACACACATAGGCTCAAAATAAAAGGATGGAGGAAGATCTACCAAGCAAATGGAAAACAAAAAAAGGCAGGGATTGCAAACCTACTCTCTGATAAAACAGACTTTCAACCAACAAAGATGAAAAGAGACAAATAAGGCCATTACATAATGGTAAAGGGATCAATTCAACAAGAAGAGCTAACTATCCTGAATATATATGCACCCAATACAGGAGCACCCAGGTTCATAAAGCAAGTCCTGAGTGACCTACAAAGAGACTTAGACTCCCACACAATAATAATGGGAGACTTTAACACCCCACTGTCAACATTAGACAGATCAACAAGACAGAAAGTTAACAAGGCTACCCAGGAATTGAACTCAGCTCTGCACCAAGCGGACCTAATAGACATCTACAGAACTCTCCACCCCAAATCAACAGAATATACAGTTTTTTCAGCACCACACCACACCTATTCCAAAATTGACCACATAGTTGGAAGTAAAGCTCTCCTCAGCAAATGTAAAATATCAGAAATTATAACAAACTGTCTCTCAGACCACAGTGCAATCAAACGAGAACTCAGGATTAAGAAACTCACTCAAAACTGCTCAACTACATGGAAACTGAACAACCTGCTCCTGAATGACTACTGGGTACATAACGAAATGAAGGCAGAAATAAAGATGTTCTTTGAAACCACTGAGAACAAAGATACAACATACCAGAATCTCTGGGACACATTCAAAGCAGTGTGTAGAGGGAAATTTATAGCACTAAATGCCCACAAAAGAAAGCAGGAAAGATCTAAAATTGACACCCTAACATCACAATTAAAAGAACTAGAAAAGCAAGAGCAAACACATTCAAAAGCTAGCAGAAGGCAAGAAATAACTAAAATCAGAGCAGAACTGAAGGAAATAGAGACACAAAAACACTTCAAAAAATTAACGAATCCAATAGTTGGTTTTTTGAAAGGATCAACAAAATTGATAGACCGCTAGCAAGACTAATATAGAAGAAAACAGAGAAGAATCAAATAGACGCAATAAAAATGACAAAGGGGATATCACCACCGATCCCACAGAAATACAAACTACCATCAGAGAATACTACAAACACCTCTATGCAAATAAACTAGAAAATCTAGAAGAAATGGATAAATTCCTTGACACATACACCCTCCCAAGACTAAACCAGGAAGAAGTTGACTCTCTGAATAGACCAATAACTGGATCTGAAATTGTGGCAATAATCAATAGCTTACCAACCAAAAAGGTCCAGGACCAGGTGGATTCACAGCCGAATTCTACCAGAGGTACAAGGAGGAACTGGTACCATTCCTTCTGAAACTATTCTAATCAATAGAAAAAGAGGGACTCACTAACTCATTTTATGAGGCCAGCATCATCCTGATACCAAAGCCTGGCAGAGATGCAACCAAAAAAGAGAATTTTAGACCAATATCCTTGATGAACATTGATGCAACAATCCTCAATAAAATACTGGCAAACCAAATCCAGCAGCACATCAAAAAGCTTATCCACCATGATCAAGAGGGCTTCATCCCTGGGATACAAGGCTGGTTCAATATATGCAAATCAATAAATGTTATCCAGCATATGAACAGAACCAAAGACAAAAACCACATGATTATCTATGCAGAAAAGGCCTTTGACAAAATTCAACAACACTTCATGCTAAAAACTCGCAATAAATTAGGTATTGATGGGACATATCTCAAAATAATAAGAGCTATTTATGACAAACCCACAGCCAATATCATACTGAATGGGCAAAAACTGGAAGCATTCCCTTTGAAAACTGGCACAAGACAGGGATGCCCTCTCTCACCACTCCTATTCAACATAGTATTGGAAGTTCTGGCCAGGGCAACGAGGCAGGACAAGGAAATAAGGCATATTCAGTTAGGAAAAGAGGAAGTCAAATTGTCCCTGTTTGCAGATGACATGATTGTATATCTAGATAACCCCATTGTTTCAGCCCAAAATCTCCTTAAGCTGATAAGCAACTTCAGCAAAGTCTCAGGATACAAAATCAATGTACAAAAATCACAAGCATTCTTATACACAAATAACAGACAAACAAAGAGCCAAATCATGAGTGAACTCCCATTCGCAATTGCTTCAAAGAGAATAAAATACCTAGGAATCCAACTTACAAGGGATGTGAAGGACCTCTTCAAGGAGAACTACAAACCACTGCTCAAGGAAATAAAAGAGGATACAAACAAATGGAAGAACATTCCATGCTCATGGGTAGGAAGAATCAATATCATGAAAATGGCCATACTGCCCAAGGTAATTTCAATGCCATCCCCATCAAGCTACCAATGACTTCCTTCACAGAATTGGAAAAAACTACTTTAAAGTTCATATGGAACCAAAAAAGAGCCCTCATCGCCAAGTCAATCCTAAGCCAAAAGAACAAAGTTGGAGGCATCACGCAACCTGACTTCAAACTATACTACAAGGCTACAGTAACCAAAACAGCATGGTACTGGTACAAAAACAGAGATATAGACCAATGGAACAGAAAAGAGCCCTCAGAAATAATGCTGCATATCTACAACTATCTGATCTTTGACAAACCTGAGAAAAACAAGCAATGGGGAAAGGATTCCCTATTTAATAAATGGTGCTGGGAAAAGAGGCTAGCCATATGTAGAAAGCTGAAACTAGATCCCTTCCTTACACCTTATACAAAAATTAATTCAAGATGCATTAAAGACTTAAACATTAGACCTAAAACCACAAAAACCCTAGAAGAAAACCTAGGCATTACCATTCAGGACATAGGCATGGAGAAGGACTTCATGTCTAAAACACCAAAAGCAATGGCAACAAAAGCCAAAATTGACAAATGGGATCTAATTAAACTCAAGAGCTTCTGTACAGCAAAAGAAACTACCATCAGAGTGAACAGGCAACCTACAAAATGGGAGAAAATTTTCACAACCTACTCATCTGACAAAGGGCTAATATCCGGAATCTACAATAAACTCAAACAAATTTACAAGAAAAAAAACAAACAACCCCATCAAAAAGTGGGCGAAGGACATGAACAGACATTTCTCAAAAGAAGACATTTATGCAGCCAAAAAACACATGAAAAAATGCTCACCATCACTGGCCATCAGATAAATGCAAATCAAAACCACAATGAGATACCATCTCACACCAGTTAGAATGGCAATCATTAAAAAGTCCAGAAACAACAGGTGCTGGAGAGGATGTGGAGAAATAGGAACACTTTTACACTGTTGGTGGGACTGTAAACTAGTTCGACCCTTGTGGAAGTCAGTGTGGCGATTCCTCAGGGATCTAGAACTAGAAATACCATTTGACCCAGCCATCCCATTACAGGATATATACCCAAAGGACTATAAATCATGCTGCTATAAAGACACATGCACACGTATGTTTATTGCAGCACTATTCACAATAGCAAAGACTTGGAACCAAGCCAAATGTCCAACAACGATAGACTGGATTAAGAAAATGTGGCACATATACACCATGGAATACTATGCAGCCATAAAAAATGATGACTTCATTTCCTTTATAGGGACATGGATGAATCTGGAAACCATCATTCTCAGCAAACTATCGCAAGGACAAAAAACCAAACATCACATGTTCTCACTCATAGGTGGGAATTAAACAATGAGAACACTTGGACACAGGAAGGGGACATCACACACTGGCGTCTGTTGTTAGGGTGGGGGTAGGGGGGAGGGATAGCATTAGGAAATATATCTAATGTAAAAGACGAGTTAATGGATGCAGCACACCAACATGGCACATATATACATATGTGACAAACCTGCACATTGTGCACATGTACCCTAGAACTTAAAGTATAATAATTTAAGAAATTAACTCAAGATGGATTAAAGACTTAAATGTAAGACCAAATCCATAAAATCCCTGGAAGAATACCTAGACAATATCATTCAGGACATGGGCATGGGCAAAACTTTATGACTAAAACACCAAAAGCAATTGCAAGAAAAGCCAAAATTGACAAATGGAATCTAATTAAACTAAAGAGCTTCTGCACAGTAAAAGACACTATCATTAGAGTGAACAGGCAACCAACAGAATGGGAGAAAAATTTTGCAATCTATCCATCTGACGAAATCTAATATCCAGAATCTACAAGTAACTTAAACAAATTTACAAGAAAATAACAAACAACCATATCAAAAAGTGGGTGAAGGATATGAACAGACATATCTCAAAAAAAGACATTTATGTGTCCAACAAACATGAAAAAAAGCTCATCATCACTGATCATTACAGAAATGTAAATCAAAAACGCAATGAGATACCATCTCATGCCAGTTAGAATGGTGATTATTAAAAAGTCAGGAAACAGACTGGGCACAGTGGCTGATGCCTGTAATCCCAGCATTTTGGGAGGCCGAGGTGGGCAGATCACTTGAAGTCAGGAGTTTGAGACCAGCCTGACCCACATGGTGAAACCCTGTCTCTACTAAAAATACAACATTAGCTGGGCATGTTGGTGCATGAGTGTAATCCCAGCTACTCAGGAGACTGAGTATCACTGGAACCCGTGAGGCAGAGGTTGCAGTGAACCCAGATCCCACAATTGCACTCCAGCCTGGGCAACAAAGAACAAAACTCTGTCAAAAAAAAAATATATATATATACACAAAAATTAGCCAGTCATGGTAGTACGCACCTGTAATCCCAGCTACTCAGGAGGCCGAAGCAGGAGACTCACTTGAACCCAGGAGGCAGAGGTTGCAGTGAGCTGAGATCGGGCCACTGCACTCCAGTCTGGGTGACAGAGCCAGACTCTGTCTCCAAAACAAACAAACAAAAAAAAAGTCAGAAAACAACAGATGCTGGAGAGAATGTGGAGAAATAGGAACAGTCTTACACTGCTGGTGGGAGTGTAAATTAGTTCAACCATTGTGGAAGACTGTGTGGCAATTCCTCAAGGATCTAAAATCAGAAATATTATTTGACCCAGCAATCCCATTACTGGGTATATACCCAAATGATTATAAATCTCTCTACTATAAAGACACATGCACGCGTATATTTATTGCAGCACTATTTACAAGACCAAAGACTTGGAACCAGCGAAATGCCCATCAATGATAGACTGGATAAAAAAAATGTGGGTATTTGGCGGGGAGGAGCCAAGATGGCCGAATAGGAACAGCTCCGGTCTACAGCTCCCAGCGTGAGCGACACAGAAGACGGGTGATTTCTGCATTTCCATCTGAAGTACCGGGTTCATCTCACTAGGGAGTGCCAGACAGTGGGCGCAGGCCAGTGGGTGCGCGCACCGTGCGCGAGCCAAAGCAGGGCGAGGCATTGCCTCACCTGGGAAGCGCAAGGGGTCAGGGAGTTCCCTTTCTGAGTCAAAGAAAGGGGTGACGGACGCACCTGGAAAATCGGGTCACTCCCACCCGAATATTGCGCTTTTCAGACCAGCTTAAAAAACGGTGCACCACGAGACTATATCCCACACCTGGCTCGGAGGGTCCTACACCCACGGAATCTCACTGATTGCTAGCACAGCAGTCTGAGATCAAACTGCAAGGCGGCAGCGAGGCTGGGGGAGGGGCGCCCGCCATTGCCCAGGCTTGCTTAGGTAAACAAAGCAGCCGGGAAGCTCAAACTGGGTGGAGCCCACCACAGCTCAAGGAGGCCTGCCTGCCTCTGTAGGCTCCACCTCTGCGGGCAGGGCACAGACAAACAAAAAGACAGCAGTAACCTCTGCAGACTTAAATGTCCCTGTCTGACAGCTTTGAAGAGAGCAGTGGTTCTCCCAGCACGCAGCTGGAGATCTGAGAATGGGCAGACTGCCTCCTCAAGTGGGTCCCTGACCCCTGACCCCCGAGCAGCCTAACTGGGAGGCACCCCCCAGCAAGGGCACACTGACACCTCACACAGCAGGGTATTCCAACAGACCTGCAGCTGAGGGTCCTGTCTGTTAGAAGGAAAACTAACAAACAGAAAGGACATCCACACCAAAAACCCATCTGTACATCACCATCATCAAAGACCAAAAGTAGATAAAACCACAAAGATGGGGAAAAAACAGAACAGAAAAACTGGAAACTCTAAAATGTAGAGCGCCTCTCCTCCTCCAAAGGAAAGCAGTTCCTCACCAGCAACGGAAAAAAGCTGGATGGAGAATGATTTTGATGAGCTGAGAGAGGAAGGCTTCAGACGATCAAATTACTCTGAGCTACAGGAGGACATTCAAACCAAAGGCAAAGAAGTTGAAAACTTTGAAAAAAGTTTAGAAGAATGTATAACTAGAATAACCAATACAGAGAAGTGCTTAAAGGAGCTGATGGAGCTGAAAACCAAGGCTCGAGAACTACGTGAAGAATGCAGAAGCCTCAGGAGCCGATGCGATCAACTGTAAGAAAGGGTATCAGCAATGGAAGATGAAATGAATGAAATGAAGTGAGAAGGGAAGTTTAGAGAAAAAAGAATAAAAAGAAATGAGCAAAGCCTCCAAGAAATATGGGACTATGTGAAAAGACCAAATCTATGTCTGATTGGTGTACCTGAAAGTGACAGGGAGAATGGAACCAAGTTGGAAAACACTCTGCAGGATATTATCCAGGAGAACTTCCCCAATCTAGCAAGGCAGGCCAACGTTCAGATTGAGGAAATACAGAGAATGCCACAAAGATACTCCTCGAGAAGAGCAACTCCAAGACACATAATTGTCAGATTCACCAAAGTTGAAATGAAGGAAAAAATGTTAAGGGCAGCCAGAGAGAAAGGTCGGGTTACCCTCAAAGGGAAGCCCATCAGACTAACAGCGGATCTCTCGGCAGAAACCCTACAAGCCAGAAGAGAGTGGGGGCCAATATTCAACATCCTTAAAGAAAAGAATTTTCAACCCAGAATTTCATATCCAGCCAAACTAAGCTTCATAAGTGAAGGAGAAATAAAATACTTTACAGACAAGCAAATGCTGAGAGATTTTGTCACCACCAGGCCTGCCCTAAAAGAGCTCCTGAAGGAAGCACTAAACATGGAAAGGAACAACCGGTACCAGCCGCTGCAAAATCATGCCAAAATGTAAAGACCATTGAGACTAGGAAGAAACTGCATCAACTAACGAGCAAAATCACCAGCTAACATCATAATGACAGGATCAAATTCACACATAACAATATTAACTTTAAATGTAAATGGACTAAGTTCTCCAATTAAAAGACACAGACTGGCAAGTTGGATAAAGAGTCAAGACCCATCAGTGTGCTGTATTCAGGAAACCCATCTCACGTGCAGAGACACACATAGGCTCAAAATAAAAGGATAGAGGAAGATCTACCAGGCAAATGGAAAACAAAAAAAGGCAGGGGTTGCAATCCTAGTCTCTGATAAAACAGACTTTAAACCAACAAAGATCAAAAGAGACAAAGAAGGCCATTACATAATGGTAAAGGGATCAATTCAACAAGAGGAGCTAACTATCCTAAATATATATGCACCCAATACAGGAGCACCCAGATTCATAAAGCAAGTCCTGAGTGACCTACAAAGAGACTTAGACTCCCACACATTAATAATGGGAGACTTTAACACCCCACTGTCAACATTAGACAGATCAATGAGACAGAAAGTCAACAAGGATACCCAGGAATTGAACTCAGCTCTGCACCAAGCGGACCTAATAGACATCTACAGAACTCTCCACCCCAAATCAACAGAATATACATTTTTTTCAGCACCACACCACACCTATTCCAAAATTGACCACATAGTTGGAAGTAAAGCTCTCCTCAGCAAATGTAAAAGAACAGAAATTATAACAAACTATCTCTCAGACCACAGTGCAATCAAACTAGAACTCAGGATTAAGAATCTCACTCAAAGCCGCTCAACTACTTGGAAACTGAACAACCTGCTCCTGAATGACTACTGGGTACATAACGAAATGAAGGCAGAAATAAAGATGTTCTTTGAAACCAACGAGAACAAAGACACAACATACCAGAATCTCTGGGACACATTCAAAGCAGTGTGTAGAGGGAAATTTATAGCACTAAATGCCCACAAAAGAAAGCAGGAAAGATCCAAAATTGACACCCTAACATCACAATTAAAAGAACTAGAAAAGCAAGAGCAAACACATTCAAAAGCTAGCAGAAGGCAAGAAATAACTAAAATCAGAGCAGAACTGAAGGAAATAGAGACACAAAAAACCCTTCAAAAAATCAATGAATCCGGGAGCTGGTTTCTTGAAAGGATCAACAAAATTGATAGACCGCTAGCAAGACTAATAAAGAAAAAAAGAGAGAAGAATCAAATAGACACAATAAAAAATGATAAAGGGGATATCACCACCGATCCCACAGAAATACAAACTACCATCAGAGAATACTACAAACACCTCTATGCAAATAAACTAGAAAATCTAGAAGAAATGGATACATTCCTCGACACATACACTCTCCCAAGACTAAACCAGGAAGAAGTTGAATCTGAATAGACCAATAACAGGAGCTGAAATTGTGGCAATAATCAATAGTTTACCAACCAAAAAGAGTCCAGGACCAGATGGATTCACAGCCGAATTCTACCAGAGGTACAAGGAGGAACTGGTACCATTACTTCTGAAACTATTCCAATCAATAGAAAAAGAGGGAATCCTCCCTAACTCATTTTATGAGGCCAGCATCATTCTGATACCAAAGCCGGGCAGAGACACAACCAAAAAAGAGAATTTTAGACCAATATCCTTGATGAACATTGATGCAAAAATCCTCAATAAAATACTGGCAAACCGAATCCAGCAGCACATCAAAAAGCTTAACCACCATGATCAAGTGGGCTTCATCCCTGGGATGCAAGGCTGGTTCAATATACGCAAATCAATAAATGTAATCCAGCATATAAACAGAGCCAAAGACAAAAACCACATGATTATCTCAATAGATGCAAAAAAAGCCTTTGACAAAATTCAACAACCCTTCATGCTAAAAACTCTCAATAAATTAGGTATTGATGGGACGTATTTCAAAATAATAAGCGCTATCTATGACACACCCACAGCCAATATCAGACTGAATGGGCAAAAACTGGAAGCATTCCCTTTGAAAACTGGCACAAGACAGGGATGCCCTCTCTCACCGCTCCTATTCAACATAGTGTTGGAAGTTCTGGCCAGGGCAATCAGGCAGGAGAAGGAAATAAAGGGTATTCAATTAGGAAAAGAGGAAGTCAAATTGTCCCTGTTTGCAGATGACATGATTGTTTATCTAGAAAACCCCATTGTCTCAGCCCAAAATCTCCTTAAGCTGATAAGCAACTTCCTCAAAGTCTCAGGATACAAAATCAATGTACAAAAATCACAAGCATTCCTATACACCAACAACAGACAAACAGAGAGCCAAATCATGAGTGAACTCCCATTCACAATTGCTTCAAAGAGAATAAAATACCTAGGAATCCAACTTACAAGGGATGTGAAGGACCTCTTCAAGGAGAACTACAAACCACTGCTCAATGAAATAAAAGAGGATACAAACAAATGGAAGAACATTCCATGCTCATGGGTAGGAAGAATCAATATCGTGAAAATGGCCATACTGCCCAAGGTAATTTACAGATTCAATGCCATCCCCATCAAGCTACCAATGACTTTCTTCACAGAATTGGAAAAAACTACTTTAAAGTTCATATGGAACCAAAAAAGAGCCCACATCGCCAAGTCAATCCTAAGCCAAAAAAACAAAGCTGGAGGCATCACACTACCTGACTTCAAACTATACTACAAGGCTACAGTAACCAAAACAGCATGGTACTGGTACCAAAACAGAGATATAGATCAATGGAACAGAACAGAGCCCTCAGAAATAACACCGCATACCTACAACTATCTGATCTTTGACAAACCTGAGAAAAACAAGCAATGGGGAAAGGATTCCCTATTTAATAAATGGTGCTGGGAAAACTGGCTAGCCATATGTAGAAAGCTGAAACTGGATCCCTTCCTTACACCTTATACAAAAATCAATTCAAGATGGATTAAAGACTTAAACGTTAGACCTAAAACCATAAAAACCCTAGAAGAAAACCTAGACATTACCATTCAGGACCTAGGCATGGGCAAGGACTTCATGTCCAAAACACCAAAAGCAATGGCAACCAAAGCCAAAATTGACAAATGGGATCTAATTAAACTCAAGAGCTTCTGCACAGCAAAATAAACTACCATCAGAGTGAACAGGCAACCTACAGAATGGGAGAAAATTTTCACAACCTACTCATCTGACAAAGGGCTAATATCCAGAATCTACAATGAACTCAAACAAATTTACAAGAAAAAAACAAACAACCCCATCAAAAAGTGGGCGAGGGATATGAAAAGACACTTCTCAAAAGAAGACATTTATGCAGCCAAAAAACACATGAAAAAATGCTCATCATCACTGGCCATCAGAGAAATGCAAATCAAAACCACTATGAGATATCATCTCACACCAGTTAGAATGGCAATCATTAAAAAGTCAGGAAACAACAGGTGCTGGAGAGGATGTGGAGAAATAGGAACACTTTTACACTGTTGGTGGGACTGTAAACTAGTTCAACCATTGTGGAAGTCAGTGTGGCGATTTCTCAGGGATCTAGAACTAGAAATACCATTTGACCCAGCCATCCCATTACTGGGTATATACCCAAATGACTATAAATCATGCTGCTATAAAGACACATGCACACGTATGTTTATTGCGGCACTATTCACAATAGCAAAGACTTGGAACCAACCCAAATGTCCAACAATGATAGACTGGATTAAGAAAATGTGGCACATATACACCATGGAATACTATGCAGCCATAAAAAATGATGAGTTCATGTCCTTTGTAGGGAGATGGATGAAATTGGAAACCATCATTCTCAGTAAACTATTGCAAGAACAAAAAACCAAACACCGCATATTCTCACTCATAGGTGGGAATTGAACAATGAGATCACATGGACACAGGAAGGGGAATATCACACTCTGGGGACTGTGGTGGGGAGGGGGGAGGGGGGAGGGATAGCTTTGGGAGATATACCTAATGCTAGATGACGAGTTAGTGGGTGCAGCACACCAGCATGGCACATGTATACATATGTAACTAACCTGCACATTGTGCACATGTACCCTAAAACTTAAAGTATAATTAAAAAAAATAAATAAATAATTTAAAAAAAAAGAAAAAAAAATGTGGCACATATACACCTTGGAATACTATGCAGCTATAAAAAAGGATGAGTTCGTGTTCTTTGCAGGGACATGGATGAATCTGGAAACCATGATTCTCAGCAAAGTAACACAGGAACAGAAAACCAAACACCACATGTTCTTACTCATAAGTGGGAGTTGAACAATGAGAACACAGGGACACAGGGAGGGGAACATCACACACCAGGGGATGTCGGGGAGCAGGAGGCAAGGGGAGGGATAGCATTAGGAGAAATACCTAATGCATGCCAGGCTGAAAACCTAGATGATGGGTTGATGGGTGCAGCAAACCACCATGGCACATGTATACCTATGTAACAAACCTGCACCTTCTGCACATGTATCCCAGAACTTAAAGTATAATAAAAAAGAAAAGAAAGGAAAGCCACAAAGAAATACCATCTTACCTCAGTCAGAATGACTATGATTAAAAGCGTGAAAAATAACAGCTGTTGGCAAGGATATGGAGAAAGGAGAACTCTTATACACCCCTGGTGGGAATGTTAATTAGTACAGCTTCTATAGAAAACAGTGTGATTTCTCAAAGAACTAAAACTAGAACTATATTTCCATTGAGCAATCCTACAACTGGGTATCTCCCCAAAGGAAAAGTAGTCAATGTATCAAACACATACCTTGACCTGTATGTTTATTGTAGCAACATTCACAGGAACAAAGATATTGAATCAACCTAAGTGTCCATTAATGAATGATTTGATTAAAAATGTAATTATGTATACCCAATGCCATATCACTCAATCATAAAGAGAGAATGAAATCACATATTTTGTGGCAATATGGATGGAACTGGGGGTCATTTTCTTAAGCAAAACAGGCTAGATACAGAAAATGAAATATAACACGCTCTCACTTGTAAGTGGTTGCTAAAGAATGTGTTTGCACAGATGAAGAGAGTGAAATAATACACAATGAAGACTGGGAAGTTGGGGAGGCACTTGCCACACTTGAGCAGTTGAGCAGTAGGATATTAATTAATAAATGCAGATTTTGTTATTGAATAATGAATACTCTAATGTCATGGCTTAAGCACTATGTAATCTATTTAACAAAACCAAACTTGTAATACATACATTTGTGCAAATAAACATTTTTTAAAATTAACAGAAACTCTAGGCATACTGCTCCCCCATCCTCACCATTAAAAAGAAGAGGCAATGACCAGTGTGGCCACAGCAGAATGAACTAGGTATAGAGCAGCCACCAATTCCAGAGATAGTTAGGGCTCAATACATAGGACTTCAGCATAGTTAAATAATTAGCATTTTGTTCTTAGAGAGTAAAAGTGTGGCCATCAACTGGAAAACATAGAAAAGTAATATAATTTTTAAATGGCCAAGGTGGGTAATTGATTGTTGGGAAATAAATAGAACTATTTGGTGTAAACTGCAGATGAGGCTTGCTTAGATGGGCTGATAGAGATGAAAATGATGAAACTGGCTGCAGTAGGAAATTGTTTTGAAGCTTGAATTTCACAATGATAACATAGCTGATTTGACTAGATGTAATGTGATGTAAGAGGAAAAGAGAAGAGTCTAGAATAAATCCTAGTTTCCTTAATTAATTAGATGAATAATTTACCAAGACCAAATAGAGTTGGAAGAGGAGTAACTTTGTAGTTACAGGAGGGAAGAGGCAGAGGTAGGAGAAACCCGAGGAGAGAGTGGGAGGTTCCCGGAAAGATTGATAGAGTGTTCCCAAAAGAATTGTAGGATCAATGGTGTTAAACTGCCAAGGGGTCACAGGAGATGCAGGACTGATAATCGATTCCTGAAATGAGTGGAATGCAGGCAGTAGATGACCTTGACAGACTTGGAGTGGAAAGAACAAAAGCATCTTTAATGTGTGTTTAAAAAGAAAATGGAAGGGAGGGGATGGGGAAATAATCACATACATATGTTTCAAGAACTTTTGCAATAAAAATGGCAGACAAATAATAGGGTAGGAAAGAAACACTAAGAGTCTTAGCAAAACCTCTGTAAAAATGGGTGATGTTTCAGCAGGCTTTTGCTGATTGAGGTAATCCCATAGAGCATAGATGTAAGAATCAGGAGACAAAAGGGTCACATACAGAAGCAAAATCCTTGACTGGGTAATGTGGTTCAGAATCAAGAGGAAAGATAAGAGATAGGGGTAGGGAGCCTTCAACTATGATAATAGGAGAGAAGTCAGAGAACTGGGATTGAACTGAATGTGGGTTGCTCAACTTGGTGATGGTTACAGTGAGATCCTTCTATTCTGAAATTTCTGAAATTCATAGTGAATTATCTGAGGCTATCGGTGGGCACAGGGGCAGTTTTCTAATATTGAACCTTCCTTGCTTGAGAAGCAGACATGCCAATCTCTGCAAGGTTTTTGGTACATATGTTATCTGAATAGTCTCCATATTCTAAGGTAGTTGTTTTGATTCTTCTCATTGTAGATGAGGAAATTGAAGCTCTGAGAGACCAAGTAGCTTTTTAAGAGTTCAGGCTAGCAAGAAAGAGTTATGTCTTAACTAAAATCTGAGAGTGTCCCAATTCTTTGCTCCTAAAAGTCATGCTGCCTCCTTGATGAAATCCATTCAGGTTTCATTAAAGAAAGGTGAGGAACATAGGGAGGGAGGGAAGTGATCACTGTTAAAATAGGGTCAATGGGATAGAGAGGGCTCTGGGAATAAGAAGCATAGAACCCTGTTTGTTCCCTTGAAACCAAACTCAGTTTCTTAGAAATTATAAGGATTTCTTTTAGTTTCTGTGACTTATTTTCCATTTGTTGTGGTTTTTGTCCTTAAAATTACTGGAATATCAGTAAACAATCTGAAAATAATTTTAGATTTTCAATTTGTGCTGTAGAAGTCAGGGAGGAGCCAGGTGTGGTGGCTCATGCCTGTAATCCCAACACATTTGGAGGCCAAGGCAAGCGGATGACCTGAAGTCAGAATTTCTAGCCTAGCCTGGCCAACAGGGTGAAAACGCATCTCAACTAAAATTACAAAAATTACCCAGGTGTGATGGTGGGAACCTGTAATCCCAGCTACTGTGAAGGGTGAGGCAGGAGAATAGCTTGAACCCAGGAGGTGCAGGTTGCAGTTAGCCAAGATCACGCCACTGCATTCCAACCTAGGTGATAGAGCAAGACTCCATCTCAGAAAAAGAAAAAAAAATTGAAGTCAGGGAAAGAGATAAACAGCAAAACATTTTTCATGGCAGCTGGCTAAGTTAGGATTAAAGAGAAGGGAAACTCCCTGGAAGCATCAGACAGAAGGGGTCCTAGATGTTCTTATAATGTGTTCTTGGTCCTCACATTCCACATTCACAAACACTGAGAAAGAACACCACAATCAGAAATTGCAAGCTGATTATTTTATTGGTATATTAAAGTTAGAGCTATGATGACCTTGTTCCAATGTCACGGCATTTGTAGCAATTGAATTATTTGAATTCACTGATATCTTCTTATTCACTTCCTGAAATAAACAAACAAGCAAGTTCATAGATTCACTCTTTTGATGCCCTTGCACACAATGTGCTCCAAATTGTGGCTTAGAAGATGAAGAGAAAAGACCATCCTTAGGTTGCTGTGACTCATTGCTGTTGAATTTGTTCAGGGATATATTTACACAGATGGTAACTGGAACATATTCTATAATACTGAGAAGCTAAAACCACCCTCAGTGTCCAGTGACAGGGATTGGTTAACGAAATCATGGCACAGCTACACAATAGAGTAGTATAAAAATGTAAAAGCAAACAGAAAACCACTGAAGATATGTAGTGACCTTCATAAACTGATGTGGAAATTTTAAAAAAATGTATTTTTTAAATGACTAACATATATACCTGCATATAAGTTATGGCATTAGTGGTAGGGTAAAAGAATGCTATATGTCTATGCACACATAAATATTTCAAAGAAAAGATCCCATAAGGTTAACAGTGGGAGCTTTTTGAAGGAAGGAAGGTGGGTAGGATGTGTTATGCCTTTAAAATTAGCTTCATATTTTTCCATTCCATTAGATATTTTTTGTTAGCTTAATCATGTACGTATTGAAAAGTTAAGTATCTAAAAAGTGACACGCCATTTAGCTGCTGAAAGATCAGGGACCATTTGGCAGGAATACTGGACTCGAGAGGCTGGTGTGAGGCAGGACTGAGCAAATGGTGCTCAGGTGAAAACTTTAAATGGGAGGTCTCTGAGTTAGTGGATAGAAAACAGAACGCCAAGAATGAACATGGTACTACCTCCTCATTGCCAACACAATTTAAGACAGATCATATGGTATGTTGTTTCTCAACATCAGAATTCCTTAAAGATTTTGTTAGAAATACAGGGTCCCCTTACCCTATTCCAGAGTATCTGAATACAAATTTTTAGAAATGGGTTCTAGGACAATACAATGTCAATGGGTTTTAGTTGATTCATTGGCACAATAAAGTTGGAGAACTGTAGCAATTAGAGTCCTGATGAATAATAAAGTGGAATCATACCTGTCATTGAATCCTAGATTACTGGGGAGGCTGTTGTCCCTGGGCAGGTCTGGGTGGCCTGCCCCCTTGAGGAGGTGGAGGTGGCCCCTGGGGCTTTCCAGCAGGAGGTGCCTGAGGCTGCTGGGGATTGCCTCCTGCTGGGGGTGGGCCTTGTGGCTTTCCAGGAGGTGGGGGACCTTGAGGCTTGTTGCCTTCTTGTTGGGGTGGTCCTTGTGGCTTTCCTGGAGGAGATCGGGCACTTCGGGACTTGTTTCCTTCCTGTGGGGGTGGTCCTTCTGGCTTTCCTGGATGAGGTGGGGGACCTTGGGACTGGTTACCTCCTTGTGGGGGTGGTCTTTCTGGCTTTCCTGGAGGAGGTGGGGGACGGTGGGACTGGTTGCCTCCTTGTGGGGGTGGTCTTTCTGGCTTTCCTGGAGGAGGTGGGGTACCTTGGGACTGGTTTCCTCCTTGTGGGGGTGGTCTTTCTGGCTTTCCTGGATGAGGTGGGGGACCTTGGGACTGGTTGCCTCCTTGTGGGGGTCGTCCTTCTGGCTTTCCTGGAGGAGGTGGGGGACCTTGGGACTGGTTTCCTCCTTGTGGGGGTGGTCCTTGTGGCTTTCCTGGAGGAGGTGGGGGACGTTGGGGCTGGTTTCCTCCTTGTGGGCGTCGTCCTTCTGGCTTTCCTGGAGGAGGTGGGGGACATACGGCATTCACTGAATAGTTGCCACAAATTTTTACAGTAATGGAGCTAAATGGGGAAATGCACAAAAATGAGACCCAGATACTAATTTCTTTGCATTTTCAGTGAAGCCCTAGAACTCTGGAGTGGAACGCTGGGGGAAAAGGGAGAAGTTGAGGGGCTCTCAGTCTAAGGAGGAGTCAGAATAAGGACACTGGCCATTTGTCTGTCATCTCCCAGGAGGCACTCCTGGCCAGGGGGATGTCAACCCACTCCTGTTGTCATCTAAGCCAAGCATCTCTGACATTCCATTTGGTGGCCTGCTCATGGTCCCCAGAATCAAGTTTGCATGAAGATTGCCTATATCATTAGGGGCAATAACATTAATCAATTCCTGAAAGGAAAGTGTTGATAAGAAGACACTGGAGAAATGATCCATTTGTAAGCAGAAAAAGGGAGTCAAAACAGATTGAGAATGAATTGGGATTTACCTGATATTAGGAAGAGAGATTCTTCCTGGCTGACATCTAGAAGAGAAGCACAGGATGATGGGAAATGTTACATCTCAAATCTTCAAGACTCACAAGTGTTCTACAGGGAAAATTGTCTTCTCACCACACCCCATGCATCCCCTAGGTTAACTCATCAGCCACCATCTGTGAAGGTGCTGGAAGGGGTGGAAGGTGTAAGAGGAGGCAGGGTTGTTACCACACAGAGCAACAGCAATGAGTTCAACATAGAACAGCCCCTTTTTTTCCTCCCTAGCATCCCTCAAGACTTAATGCTTATTTAGTTTATGCATGCCAGGTACTTCAATGTGATATTTTGGTGTTCTTATGCCCTCCATCTCCTGTTAATATATTGCATACATACACATGTTTTCTCAATAGGGGTAACCAGAAGTAATCATTTCAATACAATCTAACCCATTCCACTCCCAGCACATTGAAATACTGCATGTAGGGGAGAGAAAAATTGTAATGATTGGCTCTGATATTTCTACATCTTTAGTTAGACAGAGACAAGTGTTCTATCCAGTTCTGTCTCTGCAGTATCTCTGATGTGTATGTATCTCTATCATCAATGCCGACTGTCTGTACAGCAAGGCCACCATCATCCCTGTGTACTTACTGGGATCAGTATAGGATCTTCACAGCTGGACTTCCCTGAATCTGCCTTGCACTCTCCACTGCAGCCTTCACAGCACAGTTCTATCTCTATAAATTCAAATCTTACCTTCTCATTCCCCTGGAACAAATTCGTTATTGGATTTCATTGTACATTAAATAAATTAGAAGTCCTTATTGTGGAATGAGGGCACAACAGGTCTCCTGATCCTAGGCATGAAAACTCTGCAGCCCCATCTGTGTTTTCATTCTCCTCTCTTCCCCATAATTACCACTGTCACCTCCTAAGTCCCAAGCAGTCACCGCATCTTTTCCCCCTTCTGTTTTACCTTCACTTGAACTCTCAGCTGAGCTCAGGGCCAGCAGGGCCACTGACAGCAGAATCAGCAGCATCTCGCTGGAGGCTCTGGAGTCACTCCCAACTCTGTGCTGGGAGGAACGTGGCAACTCCCTTTATAAAGAGGAGCAAAACAATGGCACCTTTGAGCCCTGGGTGGGCCTCACCACCTCAGAGACTGGGTTCTGCTTTCCTTACTGCAGGTCAGGTGTATCCCTTATTTCTCTTTGGGACTCTAGCCCAGAGGGATGGGGTGGGTTGGATGTTGTTTGTGCCTTATTTCTAAAAGGTACGACTATGACTTGAATAAAGGTTCTAAAGGAACTGTGTCCAAGCTATCAGCACTGTGTCATAATTGAACTTCAGACATCATTAGAGTTTCAATCCTTTTGGTAAGACTATGTCTGCTTTCCACTCTACTATTTATTTCTGTGTAATATTTGTGGGGGCAGTGAAGCTACAGCCAGCAGTGAAGATGGTCAATTTCTCTGGCTCTTTATAGAGCCTATTTCCATCTCTTGTGATGTGTGTGTACAGATAGTATCACAATTGGCTAAAGTTTTGATGCGATAGAGATGGTTTCTGTTACCTGTGTGATGGTGTGAAGACAACACACTCCTGGGCACACATAGATGACAGAAAGCTGCCCCACAGCCTGCTCGGGCTACAACTATTGTTCAAGCTTCTGTGGATCTGACTCAGCTCAGGCAAGGCTTGTTGTTGTGCCACACAGGAAGGCCAAAATTGTGTATTTTAAAGTACCTTTAGGGGTTATTAATGCAAAATGTACACAGAAACCATAAGGAAATTTCTAGATCTGAGAAAACTGAATACATAATTCCTTGCGGGAGCCATGCGATATCATGTTGCCAAAACTTCCTTCATGCTCTTCCCTTTGTCCAGAATATTCTATAATATTCACCCTCTGCTTCATTTCTTTTAATAATTGTATTGAATTCCTACCACTTATAATTAAGTGGCTACAATTCTACATTCAAATAGGATAATCAGATACCCTCGTTAAAGCCTAAATTGCATTATATTGGTATTCTTGGTTTAGTCAGTATTTGTGTTACCTGTTTTCTCAGATTGTTCTTCCACAAAGAGTATTTTTCTATAATATTCTGATATGCATTCCTCCCCACCTTCTTTCTGGTTCTTCTTTGTTCATATTTTATTTTCTGAGTCAAGCCCATTATGTGTATTTTTCTTTATGTATCTGGCTTTTTTCCCCATGAATTTGGTGAGATTTCCTTTATTTAATCTTCTAAGTATTAGGATATAGTACTTACCATCTTTGTTTCATTCTTGTCTGTGTAATTTCATAATACGTGTTGTGTTTCCAAAAAGCCCTATCAGAGACCTGCATTGTTAGCACTTCTTTCAGCTACTGATTCTTCGTTATATCTGATAAATACCTGCTTATCAGTTCATGGAATATACAGGTTACTCAGTATCAACAGCTGCCATTTACCACTTAGACCTTCCATGTGTCTTGTGTAATTGTTCACATTTTGTGCATGGCTGGTATTAATTTGAGAACACCTTGGTTGGAGGTATGATGGAGGTAGAGAGGGTATGTGACAGTAAATCCTAAAGACAGGCCTCTTGAACATTGTGGATGAGTAGATCCTGGGCTTTGCAGATGAGAATCTGGGTGGCCCTTCTGAAGAGTTGCAGGTAATAGTACAAGCAGACTTCCTAATAAAAAAGGCTTTGCTACAGATAACTTTGCCCTTGCAAGGGAACCACGAAGATTGGTATTTTCCCTGACAAAAATATACACGTACTTGAAATGGGAATACAACTGGAGATGAGCAATCCTGCTTAGGTGGCTTAAGTTAGACCATCAGGTAACAAAGGAATGTCAGAGAAAAGGAGCAGCAGAGGCCAGGCTGACATTGCCTGATATTGTCACCAACTGAGGTTGCTGCAGCCTGATGCAAGACCGACTTCCCCTTGGCAGGAAGGTACAGGAAGAGAATGAAAACCCCCCTAAAGATCACTCATTTCAGGCCCTTTCCTGACCTTCTCCAATGTCAGCAATGAGTAAAGTTTATCAGGAAAGCATAAATATCAGCTATGCACTCACCAGACAAAACAAAAAAGAGGTGATGGAAATGCGGAAAGGGACACTCTCTGTGGGTGAGGGTGGGTGGAAGAGAGAAGCAGGACTGCAGCAGGAACTTGGGCACCTAGACGTGAGTGGAAGCCCTGAGCACTCCACTTGCCTTCTAATATCCATGTTCATATTCTCAGGTCCTGAAGGAACAGCCTTCAACATATGAAATTTTAGGAAACACAATTCAGCTCTCATAACAGCTCCCAACCTTTTCTAAGTCAAGTGTTCAGTGGTTCAAAACTCCTCACTCCCTTCAGGCACTGCCCTTTAGCAAATCCAGTTTCCTCCACTTTCAACACTCATCCCAAATACAACCACTTGCATAATATTTACTAGAAGGTGATAGTTCAGGCCATGATGCTCTCTCCTGAAGAAGTTTAATATCCTCAGTGCTCTTGGTAACATTCCTACCCCAGCACATCCCATATCCATTCCCCTCATATCAGTCAGGGTGATCATTGAAAAGTAGGAATTAGATCATAACACTTTTGTGCTTCCAATGCTCTTAGGATTTTCTTCTGCACTTGTAATAAGATCCAAACTTCATGCCTCAGCTCTCTCACACTCACACATCTCTCTCTTTTTGAAGACTTGGAAGCTCTGTGAATGGAACAGAAAGCAAAATCTTCCTCAACTTACTGTGTTCATTGCATAAACCAACCATTCTGGTAATACAGTTGTGTGTGAGAATTCAGATTTGTGTTGACTTTTCTAAAAACTTCGGTTACATTGGTAGGATGGTCATCTTTATATTTTTATTTGATGTTGATGCTCTCTAATATGTATATTTCACAACTATTTGAGCATATTTATATTCTTTCCATTTATCCTAGCAAAGGCTGATTATAATAGAAAACATTTCTTCAGCATTTACTATATGATATTCAATCTTCAGAACCATCATATGAGGGAGATGTGATGATTATTATTATCTTAATTTTGTAGATGAGGTGACTTAGGTGCATGCCTAGGATCATATAAAGGTAGTAAGTGGACTGGAAGGCAGTTAGTTCTCATAGCTGAGTTCTTGCCTATTGTGCTCCACTGGTTACTTGGTCTTCATTCATTTCTTTACAAGAATGTGAAAGGAAAGGAGATTCAGAGAATAAAAACAAGTTTCTCTTACAATATTTTCAAGGTTATGTTTTCCTGAGACATAAACAGCTGAGGTGAGGAAAAATATATTTTCCTGAGTAAACATGTTTGTTTAAAATCATAATCACATTTAAACATCTTCCAGTATTCTGTTTTACCCCTTGGATTTATATAAAGACACTCAGAGGAATTAATTCCTTTTTTTCTAATTACAAAACCCTGCCAATATAGATCCTGTATGTACTTCCTTAATCCATGATACGTGCATTTTTCTTGGGTGACATATTGGCATTGGCAAAATATGTGTATGCCCTTTTAAATTTACTAAATTTGATCCTTCTAATCACAATGATTCTAAAATTCTAGAAATCCAAGAGGGAGTCTGTTCAGAGAGTTCTCTAAGAAAGGATAAATTGTATACCACTTACACAGCTTTCAGTCTTCTGCATGAAGATATCTCCTGTGTCCTGGCCCCAGAGCTGGTGTACTGTCCTGAGTGGTTGGGGCCACAGAAGGCATTGGTCATCAGCCTAAGGTCAAGTGTCTGCAGCCTCAGCTCACCACTGTTATCACAATGTCAGAGTGTATTCTTCACCTTTCAGTTACACTTCCTAGCAGTTCATAGAGAAGTACAATCACAACTTATCTCATAAGAAATACAAAGCAATGTATATCACCCTCATACTTTTCTGATGATGTACCAAGTCCGTAAGCTGATACATTTAAAACAGGAATTTCATTAAAGTGATTAATCAATGACTCACTTATTAAACAGATAAACCTGTACCTATCTCTTACAAAAGATGTTGTCTCTTCTGCTTAAGAACCACAAATTATTGTTTATTTCATTGATTTTGAAGTCCACATGTGAGCATATTTATCATCTTGGAAATTGTTTTTAAAATAATGATCATGACAGAATCATTCATCTAATATTTTCTTCTTACAATGGTACCTTGACATCCTTTCTTGAAGGGGTGAGGTCTTCTTACCCCCTTTAATTGGGGTAGAACTTCGTTACTGCCATGACCAGTAGATTATATCAGAAGTGATACTTTGTGACTTTTGAGTCTAGATCATAGAAATGCCATGCAATTCCAAATTATTATTTATGGAACCTGCCACATGCTGTGAGGAAGCCCATGCTGTGAGACAGAGATAGAACATTCATTTAAAAAATGATTGGAGGAGGAGCCAAGATGGCCGAATAGGAACAGCTCCAGTCTACAGCTCCCAGCATGAGCGACGCAGAAGATGGGTGATTTCTGCATTTCCAACTGAGCTTTGAAGAGAGTAGTGGTTCTTCCAGCACGCAGCTTGAGATCTGAGAACAGGTAGACTGCCTCCTCAAGTGGGTCCCTGATCCCCGAGTAGACTAACTGGGAGGCATCCCCCAGTAGGGGCCAACTGACACCTCACACGGCCAGGTACTCTTCTGAGACAAAACTTCCAGAGGAACGATCAGACAGCAGCATTTGCGGTTCACCAATATCTGCTGTTCTCCAGCCACCACTGCTGATACCCAGGCAAACAGGGTCTGGAGTGGACCTCTAGCAAACTCCAACAGACCTGCAGCTGAGGGTCCTGTCTGTTAGAAGGAAAACTAACAAACAGAAAGGACATCCACACCAAAAACCCATCTGTACATCACCAACATCAAAGAGCAAAGGTAGATAAAACCACAAAGATGGGAAAAAAACAGAGCAGGAAAACTGGAAACTCTAAAAATCAGAGTGCCTCTCCTCCTCCAAAGGAACGCAGCTCCTCACCAGCAATGGAACAAAGCTGGACGGACAATGACTTTGACGAGTTGAGAGAAGAAGGCTTCAGACGATCAAACTACTGCGAGCTACAGGAGGAAATTCGAACCAATGGCAAACAAGTTAAAAGCTTTGAAAAGAAATTAGATGAATGGATAACCACAATAACCAATACAGAGAACTCCTTAAAGGACCTGATGGAGCTGAAAACCAAGGCACGAGAGCTACATGATGAATGCAGAAGCCTCTGTAGCCAATGCAATCAACTGGAAGAAAGGGTATCAGTGATGGAAGATGAAATGAATGAAATGAAGTGAGAAGAGAAGTTTAGAGAAAAAAGAATAAAAAGAAACAAACAAAGCCTCCAAGAAATATGGGACTATGTGAAAAGACTAAATCTACATCTGATTGGTGTACCTGAAAGTGACAGGGAGAATGGAACCAAGTTGGAAAAAACTCTGCAGGATATCATCCAGGAGAACTTCCCCAATCTAGCAAGGCAGGCCAACATTCAAATTCAGGAAATACAGAGAACACCACGAAGATACTCCTCAAGAAGAGCAAATCCAAGACACATAATTGTCAGATTCACGAAAGTTGAAATGAAGGAAAAAATGTTAAGGGCAGCCAGAGAGAAAGGTCAGGTTACCCACAAAGGGAAGCCCATCCAACCAACAGCTGATCTCTTGGCAGAAACTCTACAAGCCAGAAGAGAGTGGGGACCAATATTCAACATTCTTAAAGACAAGAATTTTTAGTCCGGCATTTCATATCCAGCCAAACTAAGCTTCATAAGTGAAGGAGAAATAAAATACTTTACAGACAAGCAAATGCTGAGAGATTTTGTCACCACCAGGCCTGCCCTAAAAGAGCTCCTGAAGGAAGCACTAAATATGGAAAGGAACAACCGGTACCAGCCACTGCAAAAACATGCCAAATTTTAAAGACCATCAAGGCTAGGAAGAAACTGCATCAACTAACAAGCAAAATAACCAGCTAACATCATAATGACAGGATCAAAATTCACACATAACAATATTAACTAAAAAGGTAAATGACCTAAATGCTCCAATTAAAAGACACAGACTGGCAAATTGAATAGAGTCAAGACCCATCAGTGTGCTGTATTCAGGAAACCCATCTCACATGCAGAGACACACATAGGCTCAAAATAAAGGGATGGAGGAAGATCTACCATGAAAATGGAAAACAAAAAAAGGCAGGGGTTGCAATTCTAGTCTCTGATAAAACAGACTTTAAACCAACAAAGATCAAAAGAGACAAAGAAGGCCATTATATAATGGTAAAGGGTTCAATTCAACAAGAAGAGCTAACTATCCTAAATATATATGCACCCAATACAGGAGCACTCAGATTCATGAAGCAAGTCCTTAATGACCTACAAAGAGACTTAGACTCCCACACAATAATAATGGGAGACTTTAACACCCCACTGTCAACATTAGACAGATCAACGAGACAGAAAGTTAACAAGGATACCCAGGAATTGAACTCAGCTCTGCACCAAGCGGACCTAATAGACATCTACAGAACTCTCCACCCCAAATCAACAGAATATACATTCTTTTCAGCACCACACCACACCTACTCCAAAATTGACCACATAGTTGGAAGTAAAGCACTCCTCAGCAAATGTAAAAGAATAGAAATTATAACAAACTGCCTCTCAGACCACAGTGCAATCAAACGAGAACCCAGGATTAAGAAACTCACTCAAAACCGCTCAAATACATGGAAACTGAACAACCTACTCCTGAATGACTACTGGGTACATAACGAAATGAAGGCAGAAATAAAGATGTTCTTTGAAACCACCGAGAACAAAGACACAACATACCAGAATCTCTGGGGCACATTCAAAGCAGTGTGTAGAGGGAAATTTATAGCACTGACTGCCCACAGGAGAAAGCAGGAAAGATCTAAAATTGACACTCTAACATCACAAGTAAAAGAACTAGAAAAGCAAGAGCAAACATATTCAAAAGGCTAGCAGAAGGCAAGAAATAACTAACATCAGAGCAGAACTGAAGGAAATACAGACACAAAAAACCCTTCAAAAAAATTAATAAATCCAGGAGCTGGTTTTGTGAAAATATCAACAAAATTGATAGACCGCTAGCAAGACTAATATAGAAGAAAACAGAGAAGAATCAAATAGACGCAATAAAAATGGCAAAGGGGATATCACCACTGATCCCACAGAAATACAAACTACCATCAGAGAGTACTATAAACAGCTCTATGCAAATAAACTAGAAAATCTAGAAGAAATGGATAAATTCCTCGACACATACATCTTCCCAAGACTAAACCAGTAAGAAGTTGAATCTCTGAATAGACCAATAACAGGCTCTGAAATTGAGGCAATAATCAATAGCTTACCAAACAAAAAAAGTCCAGGACCAGATAGATTCACAGCCAAATTCTACCAGAGGTGCAAAGAGGAGCTGGTACCATTCCTTCTGAAACTATTCCAATCAATAGAAAAAGAGGGAATCCTCCCTAACTCATTTTATGAGGCCAGCATCATCCTGATACCAAAGCCTGGCAGAGACACAACCAAAAAAGAGAATTTTAGACCAATATCCTTGATGAACATTGATGCAAAAATCCTCAATAAAATACTGGCAAACCGAATCCAGCAGCACATCAAAAAGCTTATCCACCATGATCAAGTGGGCGTCATCCCTGGGATGCAAGGATGGTTCAACATACACAAATCAATAAATGTAATCCAGCATATAAACAGAACCAAAGGCAAAAACCACATGATTATCTCAATAGACACAGAAAAAGCCTTTGACAAGGTTCAACAACTTCCTTCATGCTAAAAACTCTCAATAAATTAGGTAATGATGGGACATATCTCAAAATAATAAGAGCTATCTATGACACACCCACAGCCAATATCATACTGAATGGGCAAAAACTGGAAGCATTCCCTTTGAAAACGGGCAGAAGACAAGGATGCCCTCTCTCACCCCTCCTATTGAACATAGTGTTGGAAGTTCTGGCCAGGGCAATGAGGCAGGAGAAGGAAATAAAGAGCATTCAACTAGGAAAAGAGGAAGTCAAATTGTCCCTGTTTGCAGATGACATGATTGTATATCTAGAAATCCCCATCGTCTCAGCTCAAAATCTCCTCAAGCTGATAAGCAACTTCAGCAAAGTCTCAGGATTCAAAATCAATGTACAAAAATCACAAGCATTCTTATACACCAATAACAGACAAACAGAGAGCCAAATCATGAGTGAACTCCCATTCACAATTGCTTCAAAGAGAATAAAATACATAGGAATCCAACTTACAAGGGATGTGAAGGACCTCTTCAAGGAGAACTACAAACCACTGCTCAGTGAAATAAAAGAGGATACAAACAAATGGAAGAACATTCCATGCTCATGGGCAGGAAGAATCAATATCGTTAAAATGGCCATACTGCCCAAGGTAATTTATAGATTCAATGCCATCCCCATCAAGCTACCAATGACTTTCTTCACAGAATTGGAAAAAAACTACTTTAAAGTTCATGTGGAACCACAAAAGAGACCACAGTGCCAAGTCAATCCTAAACCAAAAGAACAAAGCTAGAGGCATCATGCTACCTGACTTCAAACTATACTACAAGGCTACAGTAACCAAAACAGCATGGTACTGGTACAAAAACAGAGATATAGACCAATGGAACAGAACAGAGCCCTCAGAAATAATGCCACATATCTACAACTATCTGATCTTTGACAAACCTGAGAAAAACAAGCAATGGGGAAAGGATTCCCTATTTAATAAATGGTGCTGGGAAAACAGGCTAGCCATATGTAGAAAGCTGAAACTGGATCCTTTCCTTACACCTTATACAAAAATTAATTCAAGATGGATTAAAGACTTCAATGTTAGACCTAAAACCATAAAAAAACTAGAAGAAAACCTAGGCATTACCATTCAGGACATAGGCATGGGCAAGGACTTCATGTCTAAAACACCAAAAGCAATGGCAACAAAAGCTGAAATTGACAAATGGGATCTAATTAAACTCAAGAGCTTCTGCACAGCAAAATAAACTACCATCAGAGTGAACAGGCAACCTACAGAATGTAAGAAAATTTTTGCAACCTACTCATCTGACAAAGGGCTAATATCCAGAATCTACAATGAACTCAAACAAATTTACAAGAAAAAGACAAACAACCCCATCAAAAAGTGGGTGAAGGATATGAACAGACACTTCTCAAAAGAAGACATTTATGCAGCCAAAAAACACATGAAAAAATGCTCACCATCACTGGCCATCAGAGAAATGCAAATCAAAACCAAAATGAGATACCATCTCACACCAGTTAGAATGGCAATCATTAAAAAGTCAGGAAACAACAGGTGCTGGAGAGGATGTGGAGAAATAGGAACACTTTTACACTGTTGGTGGGACTGTAAACTAGTTCAACCATTGTGGAAGTCAGTGTGGCGATTCCTCAGGGATCTAGAACTAGAAATACCATTTGACCCAGCCATCCCATTACTGGGTATATACCCAAAGGATTATAAATCATGCTGCTATAAAGACACATGCACACGTATGTTTATTGCGGCACTATTCACAATAGCAAAGACTTGGAACCAACCCAAATGTCCAACAATGATAGACTGGATTAAGAAAATGTGGCACATATACACCATGGAATACTATGCAGCCATAAAAAATGATGAGTTCATGTCCTTTGTAGGGACATGGATGAATCTGGAAACCATCGTTCTCTGCAAACTATCACAAGGACAAAAAACCAAATACCACATGTTCTCACGCATAGGTGAGAACTGAACAATGAGAACACATGGACACAGGAAGGGGAACATCACACACCTGGGCATGCTGTGGGGTGGGGAGATGGGGGAGGGATAGCATTAGGAGATATACCTGATGCTAAATGACAAGTTAATGGGTGCAGCACATCAACATGGCACATCTATACATATGTAACAAACCTGCACATTGTGCACATGTACCCTAAAACTTAAAGTGTAATAATAATAATAAAGAAAAAGATCAGATACAAAATCGTCTCTAAACAATATTCAATAACCAAGTTTGTTTCAGTGACCCAATTGCTATCTAATCATTTATTTCTACACATGCATGGCTAAATAGCTAAAGATTTATGGATTATTCCTATCTACCTTGCATAGTGATGTTTCAGATGCCTTAGCTCTTCTTGTACTTACAATAGCACTTTGAGGATTTTTTGCATTCATGTTCACTTTTCAAAGGTAGAAATAAAATCTGAATGTGATTGAGTGACTTCCCTAAGACATACACTTCATAGGTAACAGCATAAAACAATGCAAGGACAGAGAGAGAGAGAGAAATTAGAGAATGACCTCATTCATGAGAACAATATAAAATACCTAGGAACAAATAGCAAGAAATGCACAGGATTCAGTTGAAGAGGATTGATCAAACTTTGATGCAGAATATGCACTAAAATGTATGTACATGTAAATTTCAGCACAGTGAAATGCAATATTCAAATAGGACTAGTTTTCCAGGTGTTCTGGTGAAAATTGCACCACGGTCCCCTCTTCATGTCTGATTTCAGCTTTGCTGATTTACAAACTCTGTTATTTTTCTATTTGTCATTCCAATTCCACAGTTTTGTTTAAATTTATTGTTTATTGTCATCTCTTCTTTCATTCTCTTCATCCTTGGGTATTAATTTCCTCTGTGCTTCTTTATTTTAATTTTATTAGGACATTGGGAAAGAGCAGAAATCAGTCCATGTGTTCAATGCACTGTGCATTCCAGTACCCTGAGTCTAGAGACAAATTCCTTATCACAGTTTATAGCAGGTTCTACAGATGACCTTTTTGTTTATGTCTCTTTCTATTTAAGTGTATTCAAGTGAATCTACAAGGCAGATTGCTATTACCTGTGTTCCTCATTTTATCAGAAGAATCTGCTGCTGTCTTTTCTTCCCTGGCTGCATTAAATGTAACAGGACCATGACTTGATAATCACATGTTTATTTTTTACAACGTTATTGAGTAAACATCTAGCAACAATTTTAAATGATGAATACATTTTTACACTCTAATAGTCTAACAAATGTAATTTTTTAATAACAAATGTATGTTGTTTCAAGTCTATTACTTATCCATCTTTAGAACTGCCAAAGCAAATCTCTCCATATTATAAAAAAAACCTTTTGTGCCTTTTCATAAACAGACATAGTCAGAAACAGAAGTTTATGACATGATACATGAAGAGTTCGAATTTATCTTACATTTTTACTAACCTTATTTTTTAGCTAAACTTTGGTCTATATTCACATTTTCTTGATTGAAACATGCCCATGTGCATTTTTGTTCAGCAATTAAAGGCTTATTTAACTAGTCATCCCAACAAGATTGACATATGGCTTTTGTCAGATTGGGATGATTTACAAAGCTTCTGAAGCTTGAACTTTGGGGTCCTTCATGTGCACAGACCCTTTACACGACCCTGTTTAGAGTGAACAGAATAAAAAGAGATGTAAACTAGCAGTGGTCTTCTTTGTACCAACTCCTTTACTCAAGCTTTTATGTATTTTTATGTCTTGCACTTACCCATGGGGATTATAAGATTTCAAGACCACCTTCTCCCTAAAACAAACTCCAATTGTTTGAGGGATATCTGAATTTTTTTCTGAAAAGAAGACTTGGGAAATGCTATAGAAGCAAATTTCTAAATAATCTGATTCTTATGTCTACAAATAATGGCTATCTTCCAGCACTGCTATAAATGTACTGTGGAATTGCAGATTGTACATGGTGGAATCTAAAGAATGTACTTTAGTGGTGACTGAGGGACCAATTGAAATGAGGTATGCCTTTAGATTCTTGCTCTTCCACTAGTTTTTCCTTTGAAGAACACACTCCCTGCAGAATGGTGCCTTCACTTAGTATTTGTAGTGTTTCTACGTCTAAGCATGGAAGGAATGGTCAATGTTAGCAATGTGATCTTTCCTTTACAACTTACAGTGGGGTAAGGACAATTCGCATGTTTGACTATAAAAGCAAGGGCAGTTTCATGACCCTAATCCATTTGGGCATTTCTGCTAGTGTCCTGGGCCCATCTGTCTCCACACCTGTGTATCCAGAGATGGTGCTGACTGTGGCAATTACCAACACATGGAGTTTCTTTGATTTTTAATAGGAAGAGTCATTTATTTCCCCAGAGGTTTTCTCTTTAAATGAAAACACTCCTTCCCTGATTTATAGGACATACCACTGTTGTTTATTCTGAAGAGTCCATGACTGGAACACCAGGGAAGGCCACAGATTTTTGTATTCTTTCTTTATACCTGCTCTTTGGTTTTCCTTGGGAGGGATTCTACAACAGACTTACTAAGCAAGACTCTGGAACTCTGCTCCCATTTTGTACCCTTCTCACCCAGGCATCATGTTTGCTTAGCCGCGTCCACTCTTGGGGACAAGAGAGAATATGGTGGTAGCTCATGAGGACAGGTCCAGTTTGCAGCCACAGCCTAAGACTCAACTGAATAAACACCTGAATTTTAAGACTCCCCAAATGTGTGCAACAGCTTTGGGGGATCTTTAACGCTTTACCTCCTGTTATCTTTGGAATGGAGGAAAAACTAAAAGTGTTACATGGAAAGTTTGTTTCAATTCTACCACCTGGTACTCAGTTTACAACCATTTCCCAACCCTACTTGTTAATGAGTTATATAAAATTAGAAGATTTATTGACCACTTGTTATACATTTTGGTCAACATTCCAGCTATTGATATGTATTTTTTACATGATTAACTGAAGAAAAATGGATGCCTTTTACAAACGTTATAAGATTACAAAACAAAAAGAAATCCAAAAGAATCAAATTAGGGTTGTAATGTGCAAGCCTAATGACTTTCCATCAGAACACTCATATAATTTCCCTGTTTGATAAGAGAAACCAGCAGGAGCAAGGTCATGCTGAAGGTCTCTGCTGACGCTTTCCCTGGGATTCATCTACTAAAGCTTTGGCTTTCTCAAAATATTCTCAGAATAAGCAGATACTGTCATTCTCCAGAAAGTGAACCAGCAAAATGACTTGAGGTTTCCAATAAACTCTTGCCATGACCTTTGTGCTCTCCTCATCCACTGTTGCTTTGACTGGACTTTTCCACCTCCTGGTAGCCATTGCTTTGATTGTATTTGTTTTCTGGGTTTTACTGGTAAAGTCACGTGTTGTCTCCTGTTATAACTCATCGAAGATGTGCTTACAGTCTTCATTGCTCATATTTAGATTTTTAGGGAAAGTTCTGCTCTTCTCTGTACTTGATCTTGGTGAGACAGGTTGGGTATCCATTAAGTGAAAAGTTTACTAAAATTTAATCATTCAGTTAGAATGATGTAAACTGAACCAACTGAGAAGTCTGCAATGTTAGCTATTGTGTGTGCTGCTAATCATCGGACATCTTCTCTTAGGGTATAAAGAAGATGAATGTATACCTTGCAGCATGACATGGGACATCTGTCACTGTAGGTTTTAGGTTCAACATTGCCTCATTCCTTCTTGAAATGAGGAACTCCTCATTGAATTTGTGAACTGCTGACTTCTTCAACCAATGTCAACTTACCATGTGCCAAGTAGGACAACTTTTTGGACACCATCAATGATTTCATCTTCTTCCACCCAAGCTTCACCATAAATTTGATGTTTGAACTCTAATTTTAGAAGAATTCATGTTGCTTTTCTAGGGACTCTTTTGAAACTGCTACCTTATTTTTCTTGATGCCTCAAACTAGCTCCTGTTCAGACATGTTATAGCGAAACATTCTGATTTCATTTCGGGCCAAAAAAACTTGGAATCTATTCATGGTATTTCTTTTTCTTTTTTTTTTTTTTTTTATTTTGAGATGGAGTCTCACTCTGTCGCCCAGACTGGAGTGCAGTGGCAAGGTCTCTCTGCTCACTGCAAGCTCCACCTCCTGGGTTCACACCATTCTCCTGCCTCTGCTTCCTGAGTAGCTGGGACTACAGGTGCCGGCAACCAGGCCTGGCTAATTTTTTGTATTTTTAGTAGAGACAGGATTTCAAGGATGATCTCGTTCTCCTGACCTCATGTTCCACCAACCTCCGCCTCCCAAAGTGCTAGGATTACAGGCTTGAGCCACTGCGCCTGGCCCATTCAAGGTATTTCTTAATAGGACATACATTTTTCATCAACATTTTAACAACCCACTGCATATAGGAAGGCATCCTAACACAAGAAGGTCTACTAGAGGTAACTTAGACTTTTCCAGCTGACTAGGCAAATTGGTTTCTTGTTTTTCTATTAGAATAACTAAGAATGTTTTCTGAAGACAGAATATAATACCAGTGACCAAATATTCTCCAGCTACATGGAAAGTGTAACATTTGTAACTGAGATTTACATGCTTCAAGAGAGACACAGAGTGCTTGGGCCTAGCGGGTGTTCTGATGTTATTGAGTGATTTTCTCTGGTTTCACCAAACATTATTTGGAAAGAGAAGCTGGCGTTGTGCAGTCTGTCCTAGCTAGCTTATGGTGGCCTGTCAGGTAGGGAACAAATGCAAGAGAGAAGCAGAGGGGAGTGCCAGGCAAATGTGCCTACTTGTGGGAGTCACTGGGGAAGCTGCAGTCCTGGTTAGAGGCAGGCTACTCCTCATCTGCAGAGTATAGGAAGACAAGACATGATGCTTCCAAATATCACTCAGCTCATGCTTTATTCCTGGCCTTCTCCTATGTCAGAAATGCGTGAAAGAGATTAGCATATCAGGAAGGAGTATATATCAGGTATCAAGCTACCAGAGACAACCAAAACAGAGGTTACCAAAGAACTGAAGGAGACAGTGTCACTTAGGATGAGGTCAAAGCAAGGAGAAGGACTGCCAACAAGAACTTAGGCACTTGTCCATGAGTCAAGGACTTCAGCAGCCCACTTGCCATTTAAAATAAATGTAAACTTACTATGTGCCAAGAAAGACTCTTGATTTCTACCTCCTAAAACCTGCTCTCCCCTGCCTTTCTTCATTATGGCTGTCAAAACAAAATATCACAGACTAAGTATTCTTCAACAACAGAAATTCCTTTTCAGCACTTCTGGATGCTCAAGTTCCACGATGAAGGTGTCAGCAGGTTCAGTTCTTCTGGGCCCTGCCTTCTTGCCATCTACATATCTGCCTTCTTGCTGTGTTTCCCATGGGGCTGCTTCTATACATACATAATTCTTGTGTCTCTCCTTGTGCAAGTTTCCAGCTCTTATAAGGAAATTCCACTTCTTATAAGGGCAGCAATCTTATTAGATTTAGTTCCACTGAAACTCCCTCATTTTAGCTTGATCACCTCTTCTTAGGGCTGTTTTTTAAACACAATGATATTCTAAGGAACAAGAGGTTGGCTATGGATTTTTGTATACCCATGCCTATCATATTTCGCTAAATGTTTGATTATATAGAGACATTTCTTTGGAACTTTGAGCTGTGTGAAGACAACACAAACCTGGCCATTCATGGCTGACAGAAGGTTGGCCCTAACCCTGCTCAGGCCCACACAGATTGTGTAATATTCTTTGGATCTGGCTCTAGTCAGCAAAGTCTTGGTGTTGTAGGATACAGGTGTCTTCATGCATTCCATTATTAATACTCATGGGGAGGTTAAAACAAAGTTGGCCACAAAATCTACCAAGGGGTTCTAAAAATGAACAGAATGAATACACAGTTCTTTAATGAGACATCCTATTTCATGCCTTTAAAATTTTTTCCTTGCTCTACCCCTTTGTTAGAATGTTAGATCAGATTTAGTTTGGGCTTTACATCTTTTAGGATTTTTTTTATATATATACAGACGCTTGCTCTGTCACCCAGGCTGGAGTGTGGTATCTCAATCATGGCTCACAGCATCCTTGAACCCCTGTGGTCAGGGGATTCCCCCAGCTTCAGACTCTTGAGTGGCTTGAATTACAGGTTCATGACACCCACAATGCCCATTTTTTTATTTTAATTTTTTTTTTTTTTGAAGAGATGGAGCCTCACTTTGTTGCTCAGGCTGGTCTTGAACTCGTGGCCTCAAGGGATCCTCCCACCTCACTCTTCCAAAGTCCTGGGATAACAGGCATGAGTCACCATGTTCAGTCATTCTTCCAGGAAATGTTTTTAGTAACTCCCACTTATAATGAGTTGCCACAATTATATATTCCAATAAGATAGTCTGGGGGTACCCACATAAAAGCCTCAAGAGTATTGCATTGATCTATTTCTTAGTACCTGTGCTATCTGTCTCCCAGATTGTTCTTCCACAAAGAAATTTTTTTCATTTTTGCAATATTCTGAAACGAATTTCTCCAGACTCTCTTTCTAAAATGTATTTGTTGACATTTTGTGTTCTAAATCAAATTTCCCTGTGTTTATTTTTCATCTTACATCTGGCTTCTTTTTAAATAAAATTTGGGAAAATTTTTTAAATCTAATCTCTAAGTGAGCATCTACAATTCTTCTTACTCCTTTCTTTTCATTTTTTTTTTAAATTTGGATCAACATACTGTGTTTCCAAGGTCTTCTTACTGAGTTTGTTTTAGTAGCTCTCTTTTCATCTGCTGACTTTTCTGTTATATCAAGTAGTTCCTGCCCATTCTTTCACCCTTTTCATGGAAGGTATAGGTGAGTCAGTATCAACAGCTGCCACTTATCATTTCAGGCCTTGAATAAGTCTCATACTGTCATTCAGTTTTTGTTCAAGGATAGTGATAATTTCAGATGACCTTGTTAGAGGTATTGTGTGTGGGGATGTGACTGGACATCCTAAAGACAGGCCACTTGATCAGTTGGATGAGAGGATCCTGTGTTGTACACATAAGAATCTGTTCCTGCTCTTCCAGAAGGGTTTGAGAATACAAGGGGATTTCAAAAAATTTGTGGAAGAATGTAATTACAATATGAAAGTAGACAATATAAACTTTATTTCTTAACATAAGCTCCATCACATTCAAGAAGTGTTGCAAGTAATGACACAAGAAATTTAGCCTATCTACAAAGAATAGAGGGACCTGGGAATTTCACCATATTAATGCAGTCTTTTCACATTATTAACTGAAGAAAACAGAGTACACTTTAAAGATATTTTAATATTAGAAAAAAAGAAGTTCAAAGGTACTGCATCAGTACTGTAAGTTGGATGCCTAGTGATTTTCTTTTTTTTCTTTTCTGTTTTATTTACATAGGTTGGGGAACAGGTGGTGTTTGGTTATGTATATAAGTTCTTGAGTGGTGATTTGTGAGATTTTGTTGCACCCATCATCTGGGCAGTATACACCGCACCCAATTTATAGTCTTTTATCCCTCACCTCTTTCCGACTCTTTCCCCCTGAGTTCCCAAAGTCTATTATGTCATTCTTATGCCTTTGCATCCTCATAGTTCAGCTCCCATTTATGAGTGAGAACATATGATGTTTGGTTTTCCAGTCCTAAGTTTCTTCACTTAGAATGATAACATCAAAAGATTGGAGAAAGTTAGGCAAAACTTTAGCAGATAAATGCCCAGAAAGGCCTTAGCAGACTCCTTGTCCATCACAATAATGCTTCTGCTCATTCCTTTCATGAAACAGGGGCAATTTGCCAGATTTTTGATGGAAATCACTAGGCATTCAATTTCATCCATATATCTGCTAAAGTTTTGGCTAACTTTCTCCAAATACCAAACTCTTTCATAAGTCGGTGTTATCATTCTTGGTCCCTCCCGAAAGTTAACAACCAAAATACCTTGAGCATCCAAGAACACTGTGGCATGATATTTGCTTTTGTCACATTTACTTAGACTAGATCACTTCCACCTCTTCGTAGCCATTGCTTTGACTGTGTTTTTCCCTTCGAGTGGCACTGGTAAAGCCACTTTTGATTTCCTGTTAGAACTCCTCAAAGACATGCTTAGGATCTTTTCTTTTCTTTTCTTCTCCTTCCTACTTGCTTAATTTTTCATTGAACGTTCTGTTCTTGTCTGTAGCTGCCTTAGGTACAGTAGTTTTGGCCCTCACCAAGTGGATAGTTTGCTCAAGTTTAATTTTTCAATCAGAAAAAGTTATGTAACCTGAACCAATTGATCTTCTTGTGCTAGCTCTTGTTCCTGTTTTTAATTGTCAGGCCTCTTCAATTAGGCCAAAAGAAGAAAAAAGTTTTGCCCATAAGTTGGTGTGTATGGTCTGATGCTGCAAGGTTTAACTTGACCATTATCTCATCAGTTCTTAAAGTGAGTTATCCATTTGTGAAGGGCTGATTTACTTGTGCACACATATGTCCTAATGCATTAGTGATGTCACCATTTCTCCACCCAAGCTTCACCATAAACTTGATATTTGTTCTTCCTAAAATTTTAGTAGAATATTTACTGCTCTGATAGAGGCTGTTTTCAAACTACTTTCTCAACCATATTAGTGACTGAACAAGATCCTGTTCAGACATGTTGTAACAAGTTAGTACAAATGTGTTTTGGTACAAAAAATATTTATATCCATGCATAATTTTTAAAAAATATGTTTTTTCCACTAACATTTTGAAGATGCCTTATATTATTAGAAGCCTCCCTCATACAACGAGGTTTGTTACAGATTACTCTGCCATTGGCTGGTGATCAGGCAGATTGCTGTTTTCCTCCCCTACCCCTTCTGGAATATTAGGGATGTTTGCTAAAGAGGAAATATATTACCAGTTAGTAATTCTGCTTTGGCTATGCAATAATAAAACAGTTGTAGTTTGGGTTTATGTGCTTTGGGTGGGCATAAAGTAGTTGCTTGGCCTAGCAGGTGCCCTAATGATATTGGGATGACTGTCATTGCTTTCTACACACACTACACACACTAATTGCACAGGGAAACTGGAGATGAATGGTACTGCTTAGTGACTTATGGTAGACCTTCAAGTAGGAAAGGAAGATCAGAGGGAAGGCACCGAGGGGAGTGCCTCACAGACTTGCCTCATTGCATAGTTTGCTGTAGAAGTGGTAGTCCTGGTGAAAAAAAGACTCCCCCTTGGCTTGGTGAGTACAGGAAGACAGCAGGCATTGCCTTCAAATATCACTCAGCTCAGGCCCTTTCTCTGACATTGTCCAATGTCAGCAATGAGTGAAAGAGATTCGTGTATTAGGGAAGAATAAATATTAGCTATGAACTCTCCACACACAAATAAAACAGAGATGACAGAAGAGCTGAAAGAGGCCCTGTCAGTCAGTGAGGATGGGGTTAAAGCAGGGAGCAGGTCTGCAGCAGGAGCTCTGGCACCTTTTGGTCAGTTGAAGCTCTCAGCAATCCACTTGCCTTCTAATATGGATGCAAACATAACATGTCCCAAAACAGAGTCTTGATTTCTGCATCCAAAACTCCTCTCCCCTGATGTAGTTTGTTATGTCTGCCCTAAAAAAAATACCACACACTGTGTAATTTGAACAACAGAAATTGATTTTCTCACAGTTCTGGAGGTTCACAGTCCATGAGGAAGGTGTTAACAGGTTGAGTTCTAAGATGTCTCTTCTTGGATTTGACTTGGCTAATTTAGTTTTTCTGTCTTCACACACCTCAATCATTTACTTTCTGAAAAATTTTCACAGTCTATACGGTCTTTTTTCAAATTTTAGTCATTATATATGTCAGTTCTGAAATTTCTATTTTATTATTTTTTATAGTTCCTTCTTCTGCTGAGAAGTTCTTTCCCATTTATTTTGAGCATGCTCACATTTACCTCAAAAAAGATGGCTATAAGAGCTGCTTTAAAGTCTGATCATTTCCATATCCAAGTTGTTTCAAGGTTGTCATATTTTGATTATACCCTTCATTAAGAATTAGTCAATTGTTTATGGTTTGTAAAAGTATATTGAGTAATTTTCTATTTTATGCCTCAATAGGCATTTTTCTCTGTTTACAATACACATAAAGTTCAACAAGGTGAGCTTTGGACATTGAAGGGTGGAGGCACTCAGGCTACATCATGATCCACCCCTGGCTCCACTGGCAGATGGGTTTGTCCCGTTGACATTATTCTACTTGGAGCTTCTACGTGGATGATTCTCCTTGGCTCTTATAAGAGTATAAGTATTTCACATAATACACACTTACAAAATTAAAAAACAACAGAAAAGTTCACTGAGTGGGTCCCAAGGGACTTATCCACAACGTCTTCCTAACTTTTCATCTTTTGCTCCCCATTTGCTCAAAGTTCAATTGAACTCAAGCACTTCTTTTTGCTGAGTACAGCAAGGGAAGAGGTGATGCTTCCAAATGTCACTCAGCTCACACCCTGACCTTCTCCTATGTCAGAAATGAGTGAAAGAGATTAGTGTATCAGGAAGGAGTAAATTTCAGATATCAAGCTACCAGAGACAACCAAAACAGAGGTTACCAAAGAACTGAAGGAGACAGTGTCACTGATTTAGGATGGGGTCAAAGCAAGGAGCAAGACTGCAACAAAAGCTTAGGCACTTGTCCATGAGTCAAGGACCTCAGCAATCCACTTGCCATTTAAAATAATGTAAATTTACCATGTGCCAAGCAGGACTCTTGATTTCTACCTCCTAAAACCTGCTCTCCCCTGAATTTCTTTATAATAGCTGTCCAAACAAAATATCACAGACTAATATTCTTAAGCAACAGAAATTACTTTTCAACACTTCTGGATTCTCAAGTTCCATGATGAAGGTGTCAGCAGGTTCAGTTCTTCTGGGCCCTGTTTGCTTGGCATCTAGATATCTGCCTTCTTGCTGGGTTCTCCCATGGGGCTGCGTCTGTGCCTACATACTTCTTGTGTCTCTCTGTGTGCACATTTCCAGTTCTCAGAAGGAATTTCCACTCCTTCTAAGGACACTCATCTTACTGGATTTAGTTCCACTGAAACTCCCTCATTTTAGCTTGATCACCTCTTCTTAGGGCTGTTTTCTAAACACAATCATATTCTAAGGAACAAGATGTTGGCTGTGGAGTTTTGTATACCTATGCCTATCATATTTCACTAAATATTTGATTATATAGAGATTATTTCTTTGGAACTTTGAGCTGTGTGCAGACAACACAAACCTAGCCATTCATGGCTGACAGAAGGTTGCCCTCAGCCTGGTCAGACCCACACAGATTGTCCAATATTCTTTGGATCTGGCTCTAGTCAGAAAAGTCTTGGTGTTGTAGAATACAGGTGTCTTAACGTATTCTATTATTAAAATTCATGGAGAGGTTAAAACAAAGTTGGACACAAAAACTACCAGAGGTTTCTAGAAATGAACAGAATGAATACAAGCTCTTGAATGAGCCATCCTATTACATGTCTTTAAGAATTTTTCCTTGCTCTACCTCTTTATCCCTTTATTAGAATGTTTGATCAGATTCAGTTTGGGCTTTACGTCTTACAGGATTTTATATATATACACACATATATATGCGAGCATATATATATATATACACACACATATATATGCGAGCATATATATATGCTCACATATATATGTGAGCATATATATATACACACATATATATGTGAGCATATATATATACACATATATGTGAGCATATATATATACACATATATATGTGAGCATATATATATATACACCTATATATGTGAGCATACACACACACACACACACACACACACACACACACACACACATATATATACAGGCTCTCTCTCTGTCACCCAGGCTGGAGTTGGTGTTGTGATCATGGCTTAGAGCATCCTTGAGCTCCTATGCTCAGGGGATTCCCCCTACTTCAGCCTCTTGAGTTGCTTGAATTACAGGTTCATGACACCCACCATGCCCATTTTTTTTTAATTTATTTTAAAATTTTTTTGAAGAGATGGAGCCAAAATTTGTTGCTCAGGCTGGTCTTGAACTCCTGGCCTCAAGGGATCCACTCACCTCACCCTCCCAAAGTCCTGGGATAACAGGCATGAGTCACCACATTCAGTTCTTCTAGGAAAAATTTTTCATCACTCCCACTTATAATGAGTGGCCACAATTATATATTCCAGTAAGACAGCCTGGAACCCACATAAAAGCCTCAAGGGTATTGCATTGATCTATTTCTTAGTACCTGTGCTATGTGTCTCCCAGATTGTTCTTCCACACAGAAATTTTTTTCATTTTTGCAATATTCTGAAACTAATTTCTCACCACTCTCTTTCTAAAACGTATTTGCTCACATTTTGTGTTCTAAATAATCTTCCCTGTGTTTATTTTTCATCTTATATCTGGCTTCTTTTTAAATAAATTTGGGAAATTTTTGAAATCTAATCTTCTAAGTAAGCATCTATAATTCTGTTTACTCCTTTCATTTTTTTTTTTTAATTTGGATCAATATACTGTCTTTCCAAAGTCTTTTAACTGAGTTTGTGTTGGTCGCTCTCTTTTAATCTGCTGACTTTTCTGTTATATCAAGTAGTTCCTGCCCATCATTTCATCTTTTTCATGGAAAGTATAGGTTAGTCAGTATTAACAGCTGCCACTTATCATTTCAGGCCTTGAATAAGTCTTGTGCCATCATTCAGTTTTTGGTCAGGGATAGTGATAACTTCAGGATACCTTCTTAGAGGTATTGTGTGTGGGGATGTGACTGGAAATCCTAAAGACAGGCCACTTGATCAGTTGGATGAGAGGATCCTGTGTTGTACACATTAGAATCTGATCCTGCTCTTCCAGATGGGTTTGAAATACAAGGGATTTCAAAAAGTTTGTGGAAGAATGCAATTACAATATGAAATTAGACATTATATAAACTTTATTTCTTAATATAAGCTCCACCGCATTCAAGAAGGTTTGCAAGTAATGACACAAGTAATTTAGCCTATCTATAAAGAATTGAGGGTCCTGGGAATTTCCCCATATAAAGGCTGTCTTTTCACATTGATAACTGAAGAAAACAGCATACACATTAAAGATATTTTAATCTTAGTAAAAGAAAAGAAGTCCAAAGATACTGCATCAGTAAATGTAAGTTGGATGCCCAGTGATTTTCTTTTTTTTCTTTTTTCTTTTCTTTTTTACTTCCATAGTTTGGGAAACAGGTGGTGTTTGGTTACTTGAATAAGTTCTTTAGTGCTGATTTGTGAGATTTTGGTGCGCCCACCACCCGAGGGGTAGACATTGCACCCAATTTGTAGTCTTTTATTCATCACCTCCTTCTCAGCATTTCCCTCTGAGTTCCCTAAGTCCATTGTGTCATTCTTATGCCTTTGCATCCTCATAGATTAGCTCCCATTTATGACTGAGTACATATGATGTTTGGTTTTCCATTTCTAAGTTACATCTCTTAGACTGACAACATCAACTTCTGAGACACTTCAGAGACAGCCAAAACTTTAGCAGATAAATGCCCAGAAAAGCTTCAGCAGAGGTTCCTTGTCCATCACAACAATGCTCCTGCTCATTCCTCTTATGAAATAAGGGCAATTTTACCAGACTTTTGATGGAAAATCACTAGGCATCCAATCTCATCCATTTTTCTGCTAAAGATTTGATAAATCTCTCCAACCTCCAAACTCTCTTATAAGTGGTTGTTACCATGCTTTGACCTTACAGAAAGTTAACAACCAAAATACCTTGAGCATCCAAAAAACACTGTTGGCATGATATGCTTTTGTCGCATTTACTTAGACTAGACCACTTCCACCTCTTGATAGCCATTGCTTTGATTACGTTTGTCCCTTCGAATGCCACTGGTAAAGCCACGTTTGATTTCCTATTACAACTCTTCAAATAAATGCTTTAGGATCTTTTCTTTTCTTTTCCTTCCTACTTGTTTAATTTGTCACAGAACTTTCTGTTCTTGTCTGTAGCTGACTTAGGTACAGCAGTTTTGGCCCTCATCAAGTGGATGGTTTGCTCAACTTTAGTTTTTCAGACAGAAAAATTATGTAATCTGAACCAATTGATCTTCTTCTGCTGCTGGCTCTTGTTTCTGCTGTTCATTGTCAGACCTCTTCAATTAGGCCAAAAGAAGATAAAATTTTTCCCCGTAAGTTTATGTGAATGGTCTGCTGCTGCAAGGTTCACCTTCACCATCACCTCATCGCTTCTTTTTTTTTTTTAATGTCAAGACCTTTATCTTTTTTTATTATTATACTTTAATTTATAGGGTACATGAGCACAACGTGCAGGTTTGTTACATATGTATACATGTTCAATGTTGGTGTGCTGCACCCACTAACTCATCATTTACATTAGGTATTTCTCCTAATGCTATCCATCCCCCATCCTCCCACCCCATTACAGGCCCCGGTGTGTGATGTTCCCCACCCTGTGTCCAAGTGTTCTCATTGTTCAATTCCCAACTATGAGTAAGAATATGCCATGTTTGGTTTTCTGTCCTTGCGATAGTTTGCTCAGAATGATGGTTTCCAACTTCATCTATATCCCAACAAAGGATATGAACTCATCCCTTTTTATGGCTGCATAGTATTCCATGGTGTACATGTGCCACATTTTCTTAATCCAGTCTATCATTGATGGACATTTGGGTTGGCTCCAAGTCTTTGCTATTGTGAACACTGCTGCAATAAACATACATGTGCATGTGTATTTATAGTAGCATGATTTTTAATCCTTTGGGAATATACCCAGTAATGGGATCACTAGGTCAAATGGTACTTCTAGTTCTAGATCCTTGAGGAATTGCCACACTGTCTTCCACAATGGTTGAACTAGTTTACACTTCCACCAACAGTGTAAAAGTGTTCCTGTTTCTCCACATCCTCTCCAGCACCTGTTGTTTCCTGACTTTTTAATGATTGCCATTCTAACTGGTGTGAGATGGTATCTTATTGTGGTTTTGATTTCCATTTCTCTAATGGCCAGTGATGATGAGCATTTTTTCATGCGTCTGTTGGCTGCATAAATGTCTTCTTTTGAGAAGTGTCTGTTCATATCCTTCACTCACGTTTTGATGGGGTTGTTTGATTTTTTTCTTGTAAATTTGTTTAAGTTATTTGCAGATTCTGGGTATTATCCATTTGTCAGATGGGTAGATTGCAAAAATTTTTTTCCATTCTGGAGGTTGCCTCTTCACTCTGATGGTAGTTTCTTTTGCTGTGCAGAGCTCTTTACCTTAATTAGATCCCATTTGTCATTTTTGGCTTTTGTTGCTGTTTCTTTTGGTGTTTTAGACATGAAGTCTTTACCCATGCCTATGTCCTGAATTGTATTGCCTAGGTTTTTTTCTAGGGTTTTTATGGTTTTAGGTCTAACATTTAAGTCTTTAAAACATCTTGAATTAATTTTTGTACAAGGTGTAAGGAAGGGATCCAGTTTCAGCTTTCTACATATGGCTAGCCTGTTTTCCCAGCACCATTTATTAAATAGGGAATCCTATCCCTATTTCTTGTTTTCATCAGGTTTGTCAAAGATCAGATGGTTGTAGATGTCTGGTATTATTTCTGAGGGCTCTGTTCTGTTCCATTGGTCTATATCTCTGTTTTGGTACCAGTACCATGCTGTTTTGGTTACTGTAGCCTTGTAGTATAGTTTGAGGTCAGGTAGTGTGATGCCTCCAGCTTTGTTCTTTTGCCTTAGGATTCTCTTGGCAATGTGGGCTCATTTTTTTTCCATATGAACTTTAAAGTAGTTTTTTCCAATTCTGTGAAGAAAGTCATTGGTAGCTTGATGGGGATGGCATTGAATCTATAAATTACCTTGGGCAGCATGGCCATTTTCACAATATTGATTCTTCCTATCCATGAGCATGAAATGTTCTTCCATTTATTTGTGTCCTCTTTTATTTTGTTGAGCAGTGGTTTGTAGTTATCCTTGAAGAGGTCCTTCACATCCCTTGTAAGTTGGATTCCTAGGGATTTTATTCTCTGAAGCAATTGTGAAGGGGAATTCACTCATGATTTGGCTCTCTGTTTGTCTGTTATTGGTGTATAGGAATGCTTGTGATTTTTGCACATTGATTTTGTATCCTGAGACTTTGCTAAAGTTGCTTATCAGCTTAAGGAGATTTTGGGCTGAGACGATGGGGTTTTCTAAATATACAATCATGTCATCTGCAAACAGGGACAATTTGACTTCCTCTTTTCCTAGTGGAATACCCTTTATTTCTTTCTCCTGCCTGATTGCCCTGGCCAGAACTTCCAACACCATATTAAATAGGAGTGGTGAGAAAGGGCATCCCTGTCTTGTGCCAGTTTTCAAAGGGAATACTTCCAGTTTTTGCCCATTCAGTATGATATTGGCTGTGGGTTTGTCATAAATAACTCATTATTTTGAGATACACCCCATCAATACCTGGTTTATTGAGAGTTTTTAGCATGAAGGGCTGCTGAATTTTGTCAAAGGCCTTTTCTGCATCTATTGAGATAATCATGTGGTTTTTATCTTTGGTTCTGTTTATATGATGGATTATGTTTATTGATTTGAGTATGTTGAACCGGCCTTGCATCCCAGGGATGAAGCCCTCTTGATCATGGTGGATAAGCTTTTTGATGTGCTGCTGCATTCGGTTTGCCAGTATTTTATTGAGGATTTTTGCTTCTATGTTCATCAGGGATATTCGTCTAAAATTTCCTTTTTTGTTTCGCCTCTCCCAGGCTTTGGTATCAGGATGATACTAGCCTCAAAAAAATGAGTTAAGGAGAATTCCCTCTTTTTCTATTGATTGGAATAGTTTCAGAAGGAATGGGACCAGCTCCTGTTTGTAACTCTCATAGAATTCGGCTGGGAATCCATCTGGCCCTGGACTTCTTTCTGGTTGGTAGGCTATTAATTATTACCTCAATTTCAGAGCCTGTTATTGGTCTATTCAGGATTCAACTCCTTCCTGGTTTAGTCTTGAGAGGGTGTATGTGTCCAGGAATTTATCCATTTCTTCTAGATGTTCTAGTTTATTTTCATAGAGGTGTTTATAGTATTCTCTGATGGTAGTTTGTATTTCTGTGGGATCGGTGGTGATATCCCCTTTATCATTTTTTATTGCATCTATTTGATTCTTCTCTTTTCTTCTTTATTAGTCTTGCTAGCAGTCTGTCAATTTTGTTGATCTTTTCAAAAAACCAGCTCCTGGATTCAACTATTTTTTGAAGGGTTTTTTCTGTCTCTATCTCCTTCAGTTCTGCTCTGATCTTAGTTACTTCTTGCCTTCTGCTAGCTTTTGAATGTGTTTGCTCTTGCTTCTCTATTTCTTTTCATTGTGATGTCAGGGTACGGATTTTAGATCTTTCCTGCTTTCTCCTGTGATTTAGTGCTATAAATTGCCCTCTCCACACTGCTTTAAATGTGTCCCAGAGATTCTGGTACAGTGTGTCTTCGTTCTCATTGGCTTCAAAGAACATCATTATTTCTGCCTTCATTTCGTTATGTACCCAGTAATCATTCAGGAACAGGTTGTTCAGTTTGCGTGTAGTTGTGTGGTTTTGAGTGAGTTTTTTATCCTGAGTTCTAATTTGATTGCACTGTGGTCTGAGAGACAGTTTTTTATGATTTCTGTTCTTTTACATTTGCTGAGGAGTGCTTTACCTCCAACTATGTGGTCAATTTTGGAATAAGTGTGGTGTGGTGCTGAGAAGAATGTATATTCTGTTGATTTAGGGTGGAAAGATCTGTAGATGTCTATTAGGCCTGCTTGGTGCAGAGTTGAGGTCAAGTCCTGGATATCCTTGTTAACTTTCTGTCTTGTTGATCTGTCTAATGTTGACAGAGGGGTGTTAAGTCTCCTATTATTATTGTGTGGGAGTTTAAGTCTCTTTGTAGGTCTCTAAGGACTTGCTTTATGAATCTGAGTGCTCCTGTATTGGGTGCATACATATTTAAGATAGTTAGCTCTTCTTGTTGAATTGATCCCTTTACCATTATGTAATGGCCTTCTTTGTTTCTTTTGATCTTTGTTGGTTAAAGTCTGTTTTATCAGAGACTAGGATTGCAACCCCTGCGTTTTTTGTTTTCCATTTACTTGGTAGATCTTCCTCCATCCCTTTATTTTGAACCTATGTGTGTCTGCACATGAGATGGGTCTCCTGAATACAGCACATTGATGGGTCTTGACTCTATCCAATTTGCCAGTCTGTGTCTTTTAATTGCAGCATTTATCCCATTTACATTTAAGGTTAATATTGTTATGTGTGAATTTGATCCTGTCATTATGATGTTAGCTGGTTATTTTGCACATTAGTTGATGCAGTTTCTTCCTGGTAATGATAGTCTTTACAATTTGGCATGTTTTTGCTGTTGCTGGTACCGGTTGTTCCTTTCCATGTTTAGTGCTTCCTTCAAGAGCTCTTGTAAGGCAAGCCTGGTGGTGACAAAATCTCTCAGCATTTGCTTGCCTGTAAAGGATTTTATTTCTCCTTCACTTATGAAGCTTAGTTTGGCTGGATATGAAATTCTGGGTTGAAAATCCTTCTCTTTAAGAATGTTGAATATTGGTCCCCACTCTCTTCTGGCTTGTAGAATTCCTGCCGAGAGATCAGCTGTTAGTCTGATGGGCTTCCCTTTGTGGGTAACCTGACCTTTCTCTCTGGCTGCCCTTAACATTTTTTCTTTCATTTCAACCTTGGTGAATCTGACAATTATGTGTCTTGGGGTTGCTCTTCTCGAGGGGTATCTCTGTGGCGTTCTCTGTATTTCCTGAATTTGAATATTGGCCTGCCTTACTATGTTGAGGAAGTTCTCCTGGATAATATCCTGCAGAGTGTTTTTCAACTTGGTTCCATTCTCCCCATCACTTTCGGATACACCAATCAAATGTAGATTTGGTCTTTTCACATAGTCCCATATTTCTTGGAGGCTTTGTTTCTTTTTACTCTTTTTTCTCTAAGCTTTCTTCTCACTTCATTTCTTCCATTTGGTCTTCCATCACTGATAACCTTTCTTCCACTTGATCAAATCAGCCACTGAAGCTTGTGGATGTGTCATGTAGTTCTCGTGCCATGGTTTTCAGCTCCATCAGTTCATTTAAGGTCTTCTCTATGCTGTTTATTCTAGGTAGCCATTCTTCTCATCTTTTTTCAAGGTTTTTAGCTTCATTGTGATGGGTTCAAACATCCTCCTTTAGCTCAGGGAAGTTTGTTATTACCATTCTTCTGAAGCCTACTTCTGTCAACTTGTCAAAGTCATTTTCTGTCCAGCTTTGTTCCATTGCTGGCAAGGAGCTGCGATCCTTTGGAGGAGAAGAGATGCTCGGTTTTTAGAATTTTCAGCTTTTCTTCTCTGGTTTCTCCCCATCTTTGTGGTTTTATCTACCTTTGGTCTTTGATGATGGTGATGTACAGATGGGGTTTTGGTGCAGATGTTGTTTTTGTTGATGTTGATGCTATTCCATTCTGTTTGTTAGTTTTCCTTCTCACAGTCAGGACCCTGAGCTGCAGTTCTACTGGAGTTTGATGGAGGTCCACTCCAGACCCTGTTTGCCTGGGTATCACCAGCAGAGGCTGCAGAGCAGCAAATATTGCAGAACAGCAAATGTTGCTGCCTGATCCTTCCACTGGAAGCTTTGTCCCAGATGGGCACCTGGTTGTATGAAGTGTCAGTCGGCCCCTACTGGGAGATGTCTCCCAGTTAGGCTACTCGGTGGTCAGGGACCCACTGGAGGAGGCAATGTGTCCATTCTGAGCCCTCGAACTCTGTGCTGGGAGAACAACTACTCTCTTCAAAGCTGTCAGACAGGGACATTTAAGACTTCAGAAGTTTCTCCTGCCTTTTGTTCACCTGTGCCTTGCTCCCAGAAGTGGAGTCTACAGAGGCAGGCAGGCCTCATTGAGCTGCAGTGGGCTCCACCCCGTTTGAGCTTCCGAGCCTCTTTGTTTACCTAGTCAAGCCTCAGCAATGGTGGCTGCCCATCCCCCAGCCTCACTGCCACCTCCCAGTTTGATCTAGGACTGCTGTGCTAGCAGTGAGCAAGGCTCTGTGGGCATGGGACCCACTGAGCCAGACACAAGATATAATCTCCTGGTGTGCCGTTGGCTAAGACCATGTAAAAGCGCAGTATTAGGGCAATAGTGTCCCAATTTTCCAGGTACTGTCTCTCATGGCTTCCCTTGGCTAGGAAAGGGAATTCCCTGACCCCTTGCACTTCCCTGGTGAGGCAATGCCCCGCCCTGCTTCAGCTCACACTCTATGGGCTGCACCCACTGTCTAACCAGTCCCAGTGAGATGAACTTGGTGCCTTAGTTGGAAATGCAGAAATCACCTGTCTTCTGCGTCACTCACACTGGGAGCTGTAGACTGGAGTTGTTCCTATTCGGCCATCTTGGAAGGATCTCCTCTCATTGCTTCTTAAAGTGAGTTATCCATTTGTGAAGGTCCGATTTACTTGGCCACAAATATTTCCTAATGCATCAGTGATGTCACCATCTCTCCACCCAAGCTTCACCATAAACTTGATATTTGTTCTTCCTAAAATTTTAGTGGAATTTTTGTTGCTCTGATAGAAGCTGTTTTCAAACTGCTTTCTCAATCATGTTAGTAACTGAACTAGATCTTGTTCAGACATGTAACAAGTTAGTACAAATGTACTTTTGTACAAAAAATGTTTATATCAATGCAAACTTTTAAAAAATAATATGTATTTTCCAAAAACAGTTTGGATACCCCTTATATTATTGGAAGGCCTCCTCATACAATGAAGTTTGTTGCAGATTTCTCTGCCATCGGCTGGTGATCAGGCAGATTGTTGTTTTCCTCCCCCACTCCTCTAGAATATTAGGGATGTTTGCTAAAGAGGAAATATATTACCAGTTAGAAATTCTTCTTTGGCTATCCAATAATAAAACAGTTGCAGTTTGACTTTATATGCTTTATGGGGGACATAGAGTATTTGCTTGGCCTAGCAGGCATGCTAATGTTATTGGAATGATGGTCATTGGTTTCTACACACTCCATTTGGACAGAGAAACTGGAGATAAATGGTCCTGCCTAGTGACTTACAGTAGACCTTCAAGTAGGAAAGGATGATCAGAGGGAAGGAGCAGACGGGAGTGCTTTGCAGCCTTCCCTCATTGCATAGGTTGCTGTAGAAGTGGTAGTCCTGGTGAAAGAAAGACTCTGCCTTGGCTTGGTGAGTACAGGAAGACAGGAGGCATTGCCTTCAAATATCACTCAGCTCAGGCCCTTTCTCTGACATTTTCCTAGGTCAGCAATGAGTGAAAGAGATTAGTGTATTAGGGAAGAATAAATATCAGCTATGAACTCTTCACATACAAATAAACGGAGGTGACAGAAGAGCCGAAAGAGACTCTATCAGTGAGTGAGGGTGGGTCAAAGAAAGGAGCAGGTCTGCAGCAAGAGCTCAGGCATGTTTCAGTCAGCTGAAGCTCTCAACAATCCACTTGCCTTCTAGTATGGATGCAAACATATATTGTCTCAAACAAGAGTCTTGATTTCTGCGTCTTAAAACTGCTCTCCCCTGACATAATTTGTTATGTCTCTCCTGAAAAAATACCACACATTGTGTAATTTAACAACAGAAATTGATTTTCTCACAGTTCTGGGGACTCACAGCCCATGATCAAGGTGTTAACAGGTTCAGTTCTTCTAAGATGTCTCTTCTTCCCTTTGACTTGGCTATTTTTTTGTTTTGTCTTCACACATGGGTTTCTCTGTACACATGCACCCCTGGTGTCCCTCCATGTGACCAAAAGTTCCTTTCTTATAACAACAGGAGTCTGATTAGATTGGGACCATCTTAATAGCCTAATTTTCATTTAGGTACCTCTATAAAAAGAAATTCTTTCCAAACACAATCATATTCTGAGGTACAGGGATAGGATTTCAACATACAAATTTGGGTAAAAACAATGCAGCCCATGATACCTCCTAATCTTTACTAAAACAATAACATTTTTTACAGAGTTCTCAAGAACATAGGAGTCACTTTTTACTTTTCACTCCACACCAAGCACTGCATATAAGCAAATACAGTGGGCTCCACTATAAAACACATCCCAAGATGACCCTTTCCATAATCTCTAATATAAGGCTCTAGTGGGGGCATGACCCTCTCTCCTGGAGGACTAGAACAGCCCCTAGCTGCCCTTGTAACCTTCCTGCTCCCACCACATTCCATATCACTTCTCCTCACAATAGCCAGTGTGATCTTTTAATAATAAATATTAAATATTACCTTCTTCCTTCATATCCTCTAAGTTTTCCTGATTTTCCTTTTAGTAAGATCTTGTAAAGTTCACACCTAAGTTTCTTCGTACTCACGTGTCATTCTCAAAGACTGGGAAGCTCTATGCATGGAACTGAAAGAAGAATTTTCTTCAACTTTACAATGCGCTGGTTTGTCTAGAACAACTAAAGAGTGGTTTGCCCAGAAGTTGAACATGGACAGAGTTGTGCTGATAGTGAGTGAATTGCATTTAGTCCCTGTGGTCTGAGGGGAGTTCCTCTGTGTGCCCATTTAATCAACTAAGCATTATGATGATACAGTTAACAATTCAACACAATTGTCTCTGAGAAGTGTACTTTGCTTAGGTTTTTCTAAAAATTCTGGCTACCCTATTATGATAGTGGTTCTCATATGCTGACTTACAGTAGAGTCTTCATAAACATAACTTTCACAATTATATTAGCACATTCATATTCTACAAGCCTATTGTAACATGATAGACTATAATAGGAAATATTTACCAAGCATTGACTATGTGCCATATAATCTTCAGAACCATCTTTTCAGGTAGTAATAATTTTTATTACAAGCTTCATTTTATAGATGAGATGATGGAAGCACATGCCAAGATAGTTATAAAGTTAGTAAGTGGTGTAGATGGCGGTAGTCTCCAGAGCCTCAGTTCTTGCCTCCTTTGCTCCACTGCTCTTTGCATTTATGAACATATTTGTTTATTTTCAAGAAAGTGAGAAGAAATTAGATCCAGACAAGAAACTCAGGTACTGGTTTTAGGACCTGCTTGAAGTAAAGCTTTTCTTAAGACATGACCAGGTGAAGTGAAAAAAAAAAACAAACAAAACTATTTTCTTAAAGTTGTTTCTAAATCATAAGCACATTACACAGGCTTCTACATTCCCCTTTTCTTCATCTTTGTGTATTTAGTCATGCACATGATTAATTTCTTCTTCTTCTTTTTTTTTTTTTTTTTTCTGAAGTCTCCCTCTGTCACCCAGGCTGCAGTGCAGTGGCACAGTCTCTGTTCACTGCAACTTCTGCCACCTGGTTTCAAGCGATTCTCTTGCCTCAGCCTCCTAAGTAGCTTGGATTACAGGCACCTGTCACTAGGCCTGGCTCATTTTTTTAGTTTTAGCAGAGACAGGTTTCACCATCTTGGCCTAGCTGATCTTGAACTCCTGACCTCGTGATACACCCGCCTTAGCCTCCCAAAGTGCTGGGATTACAGGCATGAGCCACCACCCCCAGCCACTTTCTTCTTTTTTATAAATGAAAAAATCACTGGCAATCAGGATCATGAAGTGCTTTTTATGCATGCTTACACACACTTTTCTCAGGAGACATTGGCTAAACTGTGGATACCATTTAAAGTGACCAACATTTTTATTCATATCTCACAAGAAATCCAAACAAAAAGAATTCCTCACCCTGTATATGCCAGGAAAAAAACAAAAAATCAATGTACCGAGTCACCTGGAAAAATCAAATTTATGTGTAGCAAATTTTATTGTATTAGAAAGCCTTTCTGTAATGCATTGGGACTGTAAAATGTTCATGGAAAAAGTATGTTATATTTAAAAAAGAATAGATTCCAATTTTTGCACCAAAATAAACTCATATTGACATGCTCTAACATGTCTGAACAGGAGCTACTTGAGTCATCAAGAAAAATAAGAGCAAGTTCAAAAGTTCCCCTATGAGAGCATCATGAATTCTTCTAAAATTAAAAAGAGTATAAACGTGAACTTCATGGTGAAGCTTGGGTACAAGAAGGTGAAATCAATGATGCTTTCTGAAACACTGGTAGGGATAATGGCCCTAAAAATTGGCAGTTCACAAGTAGGTAACTCATTTCAAGAAGGGATAAGACAAGGTTGAACCTAAAGCCCATAGACACAGAGGATTCATATCAAATTGCATGGATAAAATTGGTACAAGATGAATTTTTGTACCAATAATTCTCGGTACAAACAAGAGCCAACACTACAAAATTCTCAATTGGTTCCCCTTACCTGATTCGAATTGAGTAATTAATGTTGAGTAAATTTTTCACTCAATGGATGCCAAAACTATAGCAAAAATATAAGCTACAGACAGGAGCAGACCTTTCCATGAAATTTTAAATAAGGGGGATGAAGATCTTGAAGCATTTCTTCAAGGAATTCTAACAGGAGATGCAACCTGTCTTTACCAGTACAATCCTGAAAACAAATACGTCAAAGCAATAGCTATCAAGAGGTGGAAAGTCCAGTCAAGGCAAAAGTGGATAAGAAAAGTGCAAAGGTCATGTCATGGCAAGAGTTTATTGGGAAGCACGAGGCATTTTGCTGGTTGACTTTCTGGAGGGCAAAAGAATGACAATATCTGCTTATTCTGAGAATAGGGTCAGAAAGCCCAAGCTTTAGTAGAGAAATGCCTGGGGAAGCTTCAGCAGAGTCCTTCACCACAACAGTGCTCCTGCTCATTTCTCTCATCAAACAGGGCCATTGTGTGAGAGTTCTGATGGAAAATCATTAATGATTCACATTACAATCCTAATTTGGTTCCCTTGGTTTTCTTTTCATTTCATGATGTCATAATGTCTGTAAAGGGCATCCAGTATTCTTCAGTTAATAATGTAAAAAAGACATACAAATACCGGCCATGCTGACAAAAACGTATGAAGATTGGTCAATAAATATTCTCAATATTCTCCCTTTATGTTGCTCATTAATGATTGGGATTGGGAAATGGTTGAAACCTGAGTATCAGGTGTTAGAATTAAAACACACTTCACAAATGAGACTTTAATTTTGACTCTCTTCCACAGATAACAAGAGATAGAAAGATCAAAGATCCCCCAAAGCTGTTACAGTTCATTGGGGAAATGTATAATTCTGATGTTTATTCAGCTGAGCCTTGAGCAGTGTCTGCACTACTTGAATTTGAAAGCAAATGTGTCTTGCTTACTTGCATGAAGACACTTAGTCCATATCTCCTTTATTACTTCTTTTCCCCTACTCCGATCTCAATTCTGTTAAGCATTCAGGCTGGGCCTGAGATCTCACTGACCCAAGGAGGACCAAAGGTCCTATACACTCATCCCAACATATTGCAAGATATCAAGTAGGGTAAGGACTCAAATTGCTTATAACTGCTCAAACCACCACTGTACTTGGTTCTTTGAGAGTGGGGAAGGCATACCGAGAGCCACAGGATGTAGCCACAGGAGCATGTGAGAAGAAAGAAAGGAAGAGAAACCAAATCTGTGTCCTCTCTAGACACTGGGAGATGCACTTTAAAGAACGGTGAATCTGGGAAAAAGCTAAGGAAGAAAAGCCTTTTTGGTAGCTCTAGTCATTCTTTTTTTTCTTTTTCTTTTTAAATACTGGGACTTGCTCTATAGCTTAAGCTAGAGTGCAGTGGCACAATCCTGGCTCACTGCAGCCTCAATCTCCTGGGCTCAAGTAATCCTTCCATCTAACCATCCTAAGTCGCTAGGACTACAGGCACACCCACTGAGATACGATAAATTGGTAATTTTTTGTAAAGACAGAGGGTCTTACTATGTTGCCCAAGCTGATCTGGGATTCTTGGCATCAAGAAGTTCTCACACCTCAGCCTTCAAAAGTAGTGGAATTAGAGGCATGAGCCACCATGCCAGGCTAGTAGATATTCTTTTTACCTAAGCCTCATTGTCCTGCACTCCGTCAATCCCCAATCAGAAGACAGCAGAGCCACCTGACTACTGTGATAGCTTCTAATAAGCAGGTGTCAACCTCTGGTGTTCCTGTAGGAAGAAAAGAAAAAAGAAGTACCTGACCAACTGATGTGGTTTGAGTCAACAGTACACAAAAGAAAAAAGACAGAAAGACTTTGTAAATTGGGCTCTTGGGACACATTCGCACAGTTTTTTGTAGTTTTTACATTTGAATGTATGGTATGATATTAAATATTTATAACATTACCTCATTAGAGACAGAGAGAAACCTCCAGGCACAAGCTCCAAGTAGAAAAATGTTAGTGGGACAAACCCTTCTGGCATTTGAACCACCCAGTGGATTACAATGTAGCACTAGTGTCTCTTCCCTCCAATGTCCAAAGCTTGCCTTTTTGAAACTTTTCTGTATTGCAAACAGAGGAAATGCATATGTGCAAGACAAAATAGAAAATCACCCAATATACTTTAAAAAACCAGAAACAATTGAACAATTATTAAGGAATGAAACAATCAAGAGACAACAACTTCGAAGCAAATTGGATATTGAAATGATGAGACTTTAAAGCAGCTGTTATAGCCATCCTTTAAGAGGTCAATGTGTACACTCTCAAAATAAAAGAAAAAACTTCTCAGCAGAGAAAAATAAAGCATATAAGATAAAATAGAAATTTTAGAACTGTGATATATAATGTATAAATTTTTTAAAATTCATTATGTGTGATCAACAGCAGAAAGAAAATGATGGAGGACATAGCGTTCTTGAGTTTGCATTAATAGGAATTATATACTCTGAACAACACAGGATTAAATAGTCAAAAAAAATTTTGTTTGTGTCACAAATAAGAAAGGCTGTAACAAATGATGTGATAATCATGCAGTCTGAGTTTCAGAAAAAGAGAAAAACGAGGATGGTATTGAAAAAGGACTCAAAGAGAAAGGCTGAACCCCCCAAACTTGCAATGGGCATAAACCTGCAGATGCAAGAAATTGAGCAAATCCCAACCAAAATATATCCAAGGAAATCTATGCCCAGCAACATTGTAGTCAAATTTCTGAAAATTAAAACAAAGAAAATGTTTTAAAGGCAGATAGAAAGAAATAATACCATGCGTATAGGAAAAACACAATGTGAATATCTGTGGCGTTACTACCAGAAAGCAGAAAACAACAGAAGAATGTAGCTCAAATATTTGAAGTGCTGAAAGAAAAAAATTGCCAACCAGAGGTTTATGTCCAATAAAACTATCCTTCAATAAGGAGAAAGAAATCCAGTCATTCTCAGAAGAATGAAAAGAAAAATCCTAACAGAATTTGTTTCCAACAAACCAATTTTTTTAAAATGGCTCAAGCAAGTACTCTAAACAGAAAAAAAGTATAGAAGAGGAATTTCTGGAACAGCAAGAATGAAGCAAAAAAAGAAAAGAAAAAAAGCAACAGAAAATGGGGAAAAAGTAAGTAAACACAAAACATTTTCCTTTTTTTCTCAAATTTTCTGCAGGAGTTTCAAATTGCTCAACTGGCTATTGCTAATATTAAGGAGGAAAGAGATCTAGGGAATGAGGCAAAAAATAACATTCTTCTCTGGTGCCCCTAGAAATAAACTCAGCCTTGACACATGGATTTAACCAAGTGAGACCCGATTCAGAATCCTGAGCTACAAAACTGAAAGACAATAATGTCATGTTGAAGCAAAAATTATAAAACGTACTGTTTTTGCTAAATGCACGTAGAGATATATTTAAGATGATTATATTACAAACAGAGGTCGGTAAATAACAGGGATATAAAGTTTTCATATTTCGCCCCCGGAGGGTAAAAAGAGCACACCACTAGACTGTGACAAACTATGTATGTGTAATGTAATACCCAGAGCAACCACTAAAAATGCTGTATACAGAATGACACTCAAAAACATTGCAGATCAACGTAAATGGAATCAAAAAACCTTTTCAAGGAATCCACAGAAGATAGAAAGAAAGAAAACAATCAAAATGAGTATAAATATAAAGTAAACAAAATGGCTGTAAATTATTAACAATTACATGAAATGAAAATGGTTATTGAAAGTAAATTTCTGCCATTTCAGTTTGTGACTTACACTATTGTATATATATATACTTCAAGTACAAATATTAGCATTACAACTAATTTTACATAAACTCATTCATATTCTCATGCGAACATCTGGAAGATGCCTGGGCAATTCTCTCCACCTGCCCTGAATCAAACCAGTTCCAGGGGAGAAAGATGTCCGTCCCATCTGTGCTATGAAGATTAATGGCCTCCCAGAGACACACCCTTCCTAGTTCCCAGAATCAGTGTATATGTTAACTTACATGACAAAGGGGTACTAAGTTTGCTAATCAATTGACCTGAATATAGAGAGACTTTATGGGATCATCCAAGTACAAGCAATGTAATCACAACATACTTAAATGTTGAATGGGGAGGCAGAAGAGTCAGTGCCAGGGTGATGTGATGTGACGTGACGTGACGTGACGTGACGTGACGTGACGTGACGTGGCGTGATGTGTCATGATGTGATGTGATGTGATGGGAGGCTTATCTGGCTACTGCTGGCATTGAAGATGGAAGAGGGCCAAGGAATGTGGGCAAGTAAATGGGTTCTGCCCTGGAGACTCCAGCATGAAACAGCCTTTCCACATGGATTTAAGCCAGTGAGACCCATTTCTGACTTCTGAGCTACAAATCCACTCACTTTGCGGTAATGTATTATTTATTGCAGCAATAGGAAAGCTAATATACTTTCCAAACATTCATTTCATACTTTTTTGTGGCCGCTCTAATGTGTTTGTGCCACTTTATAAAATATTAGAGAGGAATGAAATTATCATGGCTATTAACACAGGGCAATTAAGCAACATCTTTCCTCATAAAGTAAAAACCACTCTCAAAATTTCATTCCAATGAATAATTGTTGAGCCCATATTCAATGGAGAACAGCTAATAATTGTCCTTCCCTCATCCTTAAACAATTTCCTCCCCTCAGCCAGGATCTATGCCTCCTTTGGAAATATCCTATGCTTCTCTAGATTTCTAAAATTATTCCATCTTCTGTAATTTAGTGGTGAACTTGTGCTATAGCTCAGAACCTTCTTAGAAAATAGGAGATACCAGGTGGACACTCATGGCTAATAAAAAAATATTGCTTCATTTTCTAAGTTAACAACTTAACAACAACAACAGGGAGAAAAGAGATTGCCTTTAACTTCCATGTTAGATTTTATAGCTGACTGCATCTCAGAATATTGTCATAATAAGCAGTTATTGTCATTCTTTGGCCCTCCAGAAAGTCAACAAGCAAAACACCGAGAGATTTAAAAATAAATTTTGCCCTGACGTTTGCCCTTTGCCCATCCACTCTTGCTTTAACTTCCACCTCTCCGTAGCCATTACTTTGATTGTGTTTGGTTGCAGATTGTACAGATCAAGCCATGTTTCAATTCCTGTTACAATTCTTTGAACAAATTCTTCAGGATCTTGATACCATTTTTTTGAATTTTCAAGAAACTTCAGTTCTTGTTTGTAGCTGATCTTGGTGCAAGAGTTTTGACATCCATCGGGTGGAAATGTATCCTCTACTTTCATTATCCAGTTAGAATCATGTCAGCTGAACCAATGGAGAAGTCTGCAGTGTTGGCTATTGTTTGTACTGTTAATCACTAATCCTCTTATATTATGGTATCAACAAGATGAATTTTTTCTTTGCAAATTAATATGAGTGGTCAGCCGCTGTAGGCTTTATGTTCAAAATCATATCATCCCTGCTTAAAGTGAGTTATCTATCTGTGAGCTTCTGATTTTCTTGGCCATTGGCCTCTTAAACTTTTTGAAAAGCATCAATTATTTCACCATTCTTCTACCCAGGCTTCACCATAAATTAGATGTTTGCAGTCACTATAGTTTGATCAGAGTACATGTTGCTGTCATAGAGGCTCTTTTCAAAATACTGTCTTAGACTTCTTGATGCTGCGAGGTAGATCCTGTTCACACATGTTGTGACAATACCGTCTGAGTTCATTTTGGTTCGAAAAATTTTGGAATCCATGCAGAGCTTTTTAAATGCAATATGCATTTTTCATGATCTTTTTAGGACCCAATGTATTACAGAAAGATTTCCTAATACAATAAAGTTCGCTATAGATATCTTTGTGATTTCCAGGTGACTAGGCAGAACAAAAGCATCTATAACGTGTGCATAAGAAAAATTTGGAGGTGGGGGGATGGGGAAATAATCACATACATACGTTTCAAGAACTTTTCCAATAAAAATGGCAGACAAATAATATGATAGGAAAGAAGCACTAACAGTCTTAGGAAGACTTCTATAGAAATGGGTGATGTTTCAGCAGGCTTTTGCTGATTGAAATAATCCCATAGAGCATAGATGTAAGAATCAGGAGACAAACGGGTCACATGCAGAGGCAAAATCCCTGACCACGCAATGTGGTTCAGAATAAAGTGGGAAGTTAAGATATAGGGGTAGGAAGGCTTCACCTATGATAATAGGAGGGAAGCCAGAGACCTGGGTTTCAACTGAACATGGGTTGCTCAACTTAGTGGTGGTTATGGTGAGATCATTCTGTTCTGATTTTTCTGACTTCTTACTGAATTATCTGAGACTATCAGTGGGCAGAGAGGCAGTTTCTAATATTGAACCTTCCTTGCTTGAGAAGCAGACATGCCAGTCTCTGCAAGGTTTTTGGTATGTATGTTATCTCATTAGTCTCCATACTCTAAGGTAGTTGTTATGATTATGCTCATTTTAGATGAGGAAATTGAAGCCCTGAGAAGCCAAGTAGCCTTTTAAGAATCCAGAGATATTAAGAAAAAGAATTAGGTCTTAATTAAAACCTGAGAGTGTCCAAATTCTTTGCTCCTTAAAATCGTGCTGCCTCCTTCATGAAATCCATTCAAGTTCCATTAAAGAATGGTGAGTAACACAGGAAGGGAGAGAAGTGATCACTGTTAAAATAGGGTCAATGAGATAGACAGGGTTCTGGGGATAAGAAGCATAGAGCCATATTCATTCCCTTGAAACCAAACTCAGTTTCTTAGAAATTATAAGGATTTCATTCAGCTTCTGTGACTTTGTTGCATTTGTTGTGTTTTTTGTCCTTAAGATCACTGGAATATCAGTAAACAATCTGAAAATAATTTTAAAATTTCAATTTATGCTATAGAAGTCAGGGAAGGGCCAGGCATGGTGGCTCACACCTATAAACCCAGCAATTTCAGAGGCCGAGGCAAGCAGACCACCAGAGGTCAGGGGATGGAGACCAGCCTGGCCAACATGGGGAAACCTCATTTCTACTAAAAATACAAAAATTAGCCAAGCATGATGGTGAGCACCTATGATCTCAGATACTTGGAAGGCTGAGGCAGGAGAATAGCTTGAACCCAGGAGATGCAGGGGGCAGTGAGCCGAGATCCTGCCACTGCACTCCAGCCTGGGTGATAGACCAAGACTCCATCTTGGGTGGGGGGGGAAATAGAAGTCAGGGAAGTAGAGAAACAGTAAAATATTTTTTCATGGCACCTGGGTAAATTAGGATTAAGGAGGAGAGAAGTTTCCTGGAGCATCAAGGAGGAGGGTTCCTACATGTTCTTATACAGTCTTCTTGGTCCTCAGATCCCACATTCACAAATATTGAGAAACAGACACCACAATCAGAAATTGCAAGCTGATTATTTTATTGGTATATTGAAGTTAGAGCTATGATGACCTTTTTCCAATGTCATGGAATTTGAATCATTTGAATCACTCTCATCTTCTTATTCACTTCCTGAAACAAACAAAGAAGGAAGTTCATAGACCAGACTTGACATGGCAGGAAATGTCGAATTCCTCACTGGTCTTACTGCACTACAGTACATGAGAGCCCATCCTCTCTCCCCCATCCCTTCTACCTCCTGTGTTTCCTCCCTAATTTTTTGTGTGTTCACTCTTTGGATGCCCTTGCACAAAATGTGCTCCAAATTGTTCCTTACGTGATGAAGACAGAAGATCATTCTTAGCTTATTATTACTTGCTGCTGAATTTGTTCACAGATATATTTACACAGATGGGAACTGGAACATATTTTATAACAGTGAGAAGCTGAAACCACCCTCAGTGTCCAGTGACACAGATTGGTTAAAGAAATCACGGTGCAGCCACATAATGGAGTAGTATAAAATGGTAAAAACAAACAGATAACCACTGAAGAGATCTACTTAGCTTCATAGACGTATGTGGAAATTTTCAAAGAAATGTATTTTTTAAATGACTAACATATGTACCTGAATATAAATTATGGTATTAGTTCTGGGGGAAAAATATTCTAGTAGTCTATGTACACATAAATATTTCAAACAGAAGATGCCATAAAGTTAACAGTGGCAGTTTTCTGAAGGAGGGGAGGCAGGTAGGATGAGTCATGCCTTTAAATTTAGATTCATATTTTTCCATTGCATTAGATATTTTTTGTTAGCTTAATCATGTACTTATTGAACAGTAAGAATTTGAAAAATGAGACACCATTTAGCTGCTGAAAGTTCAGGGACCACTTGGCAGGAATACTGGACTCAAGAGGCTGGTGTGAGGCAGGACTGAGCAAACAGTGCTCAGGTGAAAACTTTAAATGGGAGGTCTCTCAGTTTGTGCACAGAAAACAGAGCGCCAGAGAGAACATGGTACTACTTCCTTGTTGCCAACACAACTTAAGACAGATTATTTGGAATTTTGTTTCTCAACATCAGAATTCCTTAAAGAGTTTGTTACAAATATAGGATCTTGTTACCCATTTCCAGAATATGTCAATACAAATCTTTAGAAATGGGATCTGGGACTATACAATGCCAATGGGCTTTTAGCTGATTCATTGGCACAATAAAGCTGGAGAGCTGTAGCAATTAGAGCACTTGGTGAAGAATAAACTGGAATCATACCTGTCATTGAATCCTAGATGACTGGGGAGGCTGTCACTGGGGAGGTCTGGAAGGTCTGCCCCCTTGAGGAGGGCGTGGTGGTCCCTGGGGCTGTCCAGCAGGAGGTGCCTGAGGCTGCTGGGGATTGCCTCCTGCTGGAGGTGGGGGACCTTGAGGATTGTTGCCTTCTTGTTGGGGTGGTCCTTGTGGCTTTCCTGGAGGAGATCGGGCACTTTGGGACTTGCTGCCTCCTTGTGCGGGTGGTCCTTGTGGCTTTCCTGGAGGTGGGGGACCTTGAGGTTTGTTGCCTCCTTGTGGGGGTGGTCCTTGTGGCTTTCCTGGAGGAGGTGGGGGACCTTGGGGCTGGTTGCCTCCTTGTGGGGGTGGTCCTTGTGGCTTTCCTGGAGGAGATTGGGAACTTCGGGACTTGTCTCCTTGTGGGGGTGGTCCTTGTGGCTTTCCTGGAGGTGGGGGACCCTGAGGTTTCTTGCCTCCTTGTGGGGGTGGTCCTTGTGGCTTTCCTGGAGGAGGTGGGGGACCTTGGGGTTGGTTACCTCCTTGTGGGGGTGGTCCTTGTGGCTTTCCTGGAGGAGATCAGGGACTTCGGGACTTGTCTCCTTGTGGGGGTGGTCCTTGTGGCTTTCCTGGAGGTGGGGGACCTTGAGGTCTGTTGCCTCCTTGTGGGGGTGGTCCTTGTGGCTTTCCTGGAGGAGGTGGGGGACCTTGGGGCTGGTTACCTCCTTGTGGGGGTGGTCCTTGTGGTTTTCCTGGAGGAGATCGGGGACTTCGGGACTTGTCCCCTTGTGGGGGTGGTCCTTGTGGCTTTCCTGGAGGTGGGGGACCTTGAGGTTTGTTGCCTCCTTGTGGGGGTGGTCCTTGTGGCTTTCCTGGAGGAGGTGGGGGGCCCTGGGGCTTGTTGCCTCCTTGTGGGGATGGTCCTTGTGGATTTCCTGGAGGACAAAGAGAGAAGAGAAAGACAGAGTAAAAGCCCACACAAGATTCACTGAATAGTTGCAGTAAATTTTTATCAGCTTGGGTAACAAGCTGAGTGGGGAAATACACAAAAATGGAACAAAGACATTAATTTATTTGCATTTTCAGTGAAGACATAGAACTCTGGAGTGGAAAGCTGGGGAAGAACAAAGCAGTTGAGGGCCTCTCAGTATAAAGAGGAGACAGAATGAGGATGCTGCCCATTTCTGTCATCTCCCAGCAGGCATTCCTGGCCGGGGGGATGAGGCAACACACTCCTGTTGTCATCTAAGCCAAGCATCTCTGCCATTCAATTTGGTGGCCTGCTCATGATGCCCAGAATCAAGGTTGCACGAAGAGTGCCTATATTGTTAGGGGCACTAACATTAATCAACTCCTGAAAGGAAAGTTTTGATAAGAAGACACTGGAGAACTGATCCACTCATAAGCAGAAAAAGACAGTCAAAACAGATTGAGAACGAATCAGGCTTTACCTGCTATTAGGGAGGGAGATTCTTCCTGGCTGACATCTAGAAGAGAAGCACAGGATGATGGGAAAAGTTACATCTTGAACCTTTCAAGACTCACAAGTGTTCTACAGGGAAAAGGGTCTTCTCATGACACCCCATGCATCCCCTAAGTTAACTAGTCAGCCACCATCTGTGAAGCTGCTGGAAGGGGAGGAAGGTGTAAGGGGAGACAGGGTTGTTATGACAGAGCAACAGCCATGAACTCAACATAGAAGAGCCCCTTTTTTCCCTCCCTAGCATCCCTCAAGACTTAATGCTAATTTAGTTCACACATGCCAGGTACTTCAATGTGATACTTTGGTGTTCTTATGCCCTCCATTTCCTATAAATACATTGCTTATGTACACATGCTTTCTCAATTGGGGTAACCAGAAGTAATCACTTCAATACAATCTTACCCATACCACTCCCAGCACATTGAAATACTGCGTGTAAGGGAGAGAAAAATGACAATGATTGGCTCTGATATTTCTGTATCTCTAGTTAAACAGAGACAAGTGTTCCATCCAATTCTCTGTCTCTGCAGTATCTCTGATACTGTGTGTGTTTATCGCCATCATCGATGCTGATGCACTGTACAGCAAGGCCACCATCATCCCTGTGTACTTACTGAGATCAGTTTAGGATCTTCACAGCTGGACTTCCATGAATCTGCCTTGCATTCTCTACTGCATCCTTCACAGCACAGTTCTATCTATAAATGCAAATCTTACCTTCTCATTCCCCTGGAACAAATTCTTTATTGGATTTCATTGTACATTAAATAAATTAGAAACCCTTAGTGTGGAATGAGGGTACAACAGGTCTCCTGATCCTAGGCATGAAAACTCTGCAGCCCCATCTGTGTTTTCATTCTCCTCTCCTCCCCGTAATTACCATTATCACCTCCTAAGCCCCAAGCAGAGTCACCACATCTTTTCCCTCTTCTGTTTTACCTTCATTTAAGTTCTGAGCTGAGCTCAGGGCCAGCAAGGCCACTGACAGCAGAATCAACAGCATCTTGCAGGAGGCTCTGGAGTCACTCCCAACTCTGTGCTGGGAGGAACGTGGCAACTCCCTTTATAAAGAGGAGAAGAACAATGGCACCTTTGAGCTCCACACTGGGTGGGCCTCACCACCTCAGAGACTGGCTTCTGCTTTGCTCACTGCAGGTCAGGTGTATCCCTTATTTTTCTTTGAGACTCTAGCCCAGAGAGATGAGTTGGATAGGATATGTTGTTAGTGTCTTATTTCCAAAAGGTACAACTATGACTTGAACAATGGTTTTGAAGGAACTGTGTCCAAGCCATCAGCACTGTGTCATCACTGAACTTTAGATATCATTAGAGTTTCAATCTTTTAGGTAAGACTATCATCCACTTTCCACTGTGCTATTTATTTCTGTTTATGTGTGTGTGAGCAGCGATGCTACAGCCAGCAGTGAAAATGGTCAATATCTCTGCATCTTTTTATGCCCTATTTCCATCTCTTGTGATGTGTGTGTACAGATATTTTCATATTTAGCTCAATTTTTGATGTGATAGAGATGGTTTCTGCTATCTATGAGATGTGTGAGGACAGCACACTTCTGTGCACACATAGATGACAGAAAGCTGCCCCGCAGCCTGCTCAGGATAGGGCTATTGTTCAAGTTTCTGTGGATCTCACTCAGCTGAGGCAAGGCTTGGTCCTGTACAACACAGGAAGTCTAAAATTTTGTATTCTAAAGTATTTTTAGGGGTTATTAATGCAAAGTAGACACAGAAACCACCAGGAAATTTCTAGACCTGAGAAAACTGAATACATAGTTCTTTGAGGGAGCCATGCAATGTCAGGTCGCTAAAATTTCCTTCATGCTCTTCCCTTTCTCTAGAATATTCTATAAAATTCACCCACTGCTTCATTTCTTTTAGGAATTGTATCAAATTCTTACCACTGTTAATTAAGTGGCCACAATTCTACATTCAAATGAGATAATCAGATACCGCCATCAAACCCTCAGTTGCATTGTATTGGTTTTCTTTGTTTAGTCAGTATTTGTGTTACCTGTTTTCTCAGATTCTTCTTCCACAAGGAGTATTTTTTCTACAATATTCTGATATGCATTCCTCCCCACGTTCTTTCTAGTACTTCTTTGTTCATATTTTATTTTCTGAGTCAAGCTCATTATGTGTATTTTTTATTATGTAGCTGGCTTTTCCCCATGAATTTAGTGAGATTTACTTTATTTAATCTTCTACAGAATAAGATATAGTACTCCTAACCTCTTTTTTTCATTCCTGTCTGTGTAATTTCACAATAAATGTTGTGTTTCCAAAAAGCCCTCTCAGAGTCCTGCACTGTTAGCACTTCTTTTAGCTGCTGGTTCTTCTCTTATATCTGGTAAATCCCTGCTCATCAGTTCGTGGAATATACAGGTTAGTCAGTATCAACAGCTGCCATTTACCACTTAGACCTTCCATGTGTCTTGTGTAATTCTTCACATTTTGTGCATGGCTGGTGGTAATCTGAGGACAGCTTGGTGGGAGGTATGATGGGGGTAGAGAGGGTATGTGACAGTAAATTCTAAAGACAGGCCTCTTGGCCATTGGGGATGAGTGGATCCTGTGCTGTGCACATGAGGGTCTGGTCTGGCCCTTCTGAAGAGTTGCGGATATTAGTACAGGGAGACTTCCTAATACAAAAGGCTTTGCTATGGATAATTTTGCCCTTGCAAGGGAACCAGACAGATTGGTATTTTCCCTGGCATAAATACAGATGTACTTCAAAGGGGAATACATTACTAATTGGCAATTCTTTCTGGCTCTATGGAAAGTGGATTGGTTCTAGCTGAGCTTCATGAGTTTTATCTTAGGCAGAGAGTAGTTGTTTGGTCCCAGCAGATCCCACTGTATTGTTGAGATTTGTGTCTCTTGTCTCACAGACCCTGTTTTCCATAGGAACTGGAAATGAGCAATCCTGCCTAGGTGGCTTAAGTTAGACCATCAGGTAACAAAGGAATGTCAGAGAAAAGGAGCAACAAAGAGGCAAGGATGACATTGCCTGTTTATGTCACCAACCAAGGTTGCTGCAGCCTGATGCAAGACAGACTTCCCCTTGGCAGGAGAGTACAGGAAGAGAACAGAAATGCCCCTAAAGGTCACTCATTTCAGGCTCTTTCCCTGTTCTTCTCCAATGTCAGCAATGAGTAAAGTTTTTCAGGAAAGCATAAATATCAGCTATGCACTCACCAGACAAAACAAAAAAGAGGTGATGGAAATGTGGAAAGGGACACTCTCTGTGAGTGAGGGTGGGTGGAAGAGACAAGCAGTCCTGCAGCAGGAACTTGGGCACCTAGACATGAGTTGCAGCCCTTAGCACTCCACTTGCCTTCTAATATCCATGTTCACATTCTCAGGTCCTGAAGGAACAGTCTTCAACCTATGAAATTTTAGGAGATGCAATTCAGCTCTCATAACAGCTCCCAACCTTTTCTAAGTCGAGTGTTCAGTGGTTCAAAACTCCTCACTCCCTTCAGGCACTGCCCTTTAGCAAATCGAGTTGCCTCCACTTTCAACACTCATCCCAAATACAACCACTTGCATAATCTTTACTAGAAGGTGATAGTTCAGGCCGTGATACTCTCTCCTGTAGGACTTTAATATCCTCAGCTGCTCTTGGTAACATTCCTGCCCCAGCACATCCCATATCCGTTCCCCTCATATCAGTCAGAGAAGACATTTATGCAGCCAAAAAACACATGAAAAAATGCTCATCATCACTGGCCATCAGAGAAATGCAAATCAAAACCACAATGAGATACCATCTCACACCAGTTAGAATGGCAATCATTAAAAAGTCAGGAAACAACAGGTGCTGTAGGGGATGTGGTGAAATAGGAACACTTTTACACTGTTAGTGGGACTGTAAACTAGTTCAACCATTGTGGAAGTCAGTGTGGTGATTCCTCAGGGTTCTAGAACTAGAAATACCATTTGACCCAGCCATCCCATTACCGGGTATATACCCAAAGGATTATAAATCATGCTGCTATAAAGACAAATTCACATGTATGTTTATTGCAGCACTATTCACAATAGCAAAGACTTGGAACCAACCCAAATGTACAACAACTATAGACTGGATTAAGAAAATGTGGCACATATACAGGATGGAATACTATGCAGCCATAAAAAATGATGAGTTCATGTCCTTTGTAGGGACATGGATGAAACTGGAAACCATCATTCTCAGCAAACTATCACAAGGACAAAAAACCAAACACCACATGTTCTCACTCATAGATGGGAATTGAACAATGAGAACACATGGACACAGGAAGGGGAACATCACACACCAGGGACTGTTGTGGGGTGGGGGAGCAGGGAGGGATAGCATTAGGAGATATACCTAATGCTAAATGACGAGTTAATGGGTGCAGCACACCAACATGGCACATGTATACATATGTAACAAACCTGCACGTTGTGCACATGTACCCTAAAACTTAAAGTATAATAATAATAAAATTTTTTTAAAAACCTAGGAATTAGATCATAACACTTTTATGCTTCAAATGCTCTTAGGATTTTCTTCTGCAGTTGTAATAAGATAAAAGTTTCATGCCTCAGCTCCCTCACACCCACACATCTCCCTCTTTTTGAAGACGTGAAAGCTCTGTGAATGGAACAGAAAACAGAATCTTCCTCAACTTACTGTGTTCATTGAGTAAACCAACTATTCTGATAATACAGTCGTGTTCAAGAATTCAGCGTTGCTTGGACTTTTCTAAAAACTTTGGTTACATTAGTAGGATCTTCATCTTTACATTTTTATTTGATGTTGATGCTCTCTAATATATATATATTTCACAATTATTTGAGCTTATTTATATTCTTTCCATTTATCCTAGCAAAGGCTGATTATAATAGAAAACATTTCTTCAGCATTTACTATATGATATTCAATCTTCAGAACCATCGTATTAGGGAGGTGTGATTATTATTATCTTAATTTTGTAGATGAGGTGACTTAGGTGCGTGCCTAGGTTCCTATAAAGGTAGTAAGTGGAATGGAAGGCATTCAGTTCTCAGAGCTGAGTTCTTGCCTACTGTGCTCCATTGGTTACTTGCTCTTCATTCATTCATTTCTCTAAAAGAAAGTGAAAGGAAATGAGATTCAGAGAACAAAAGCAAGTTTCTCTTAGAATATTTTCAAGGTTAAATTTTCCTGAGACGTTAAGAGCTGAGGTGACTGAAAATATATTTTCCTGAGTAAACATGTTTGTTTGAAATCATAATCCCATTTAAACATATTCTAGTATTCTGCTTTACCCCTTGTATTTATATAAAGACACTCAGAGGAATTAATTCCTTTTTTTTTCTAATTACAAAACCCTGTCAATGTAGATCCTCTATGTACTTCCTTAATCCATGCTACATGCATTTTTCTTGGGTGGCATATTAGCATTGACAAAATTTGTGTATGCCCTTTTAAATTGACTAAATTTGATCCTTCTAATCACAATGGATCTAAAATTCTAGAAATCCAAGAGGGAGTCTGATCAGAGAGTTGTCTAAGAAAGGATAAACTATATACCACTTACATAACTTTCAGTCTTCTGCATGAAGATGTCACCTGTGTCCTGGCCCCAGAGCCGGTGTACCATCCTCAGTGATTGGGGCCATAGAAGGCATTGGTCATCAGCCTAAGGTCAAGTGTCTGTAGCCTCATCACACAATGTCAGAGTGTATTCTTCAGCTTTCAGTTAAACATCCTATCAGTTCATAGAGAAGTACAATCACAACTTATAAGAAATACAAAGCAATGTATGTCACCCTCATGTTTTTCTGATCATGTACAAAGTCAGTAAGCTGATAGGAATTTCACTAAAGTGACTAATCAATGACTCACTTATTAAACACATAAACCTTTCCCTATGTCATACAAAAGATGTTGTCTTTTCTGCGTAAGAACCACAAATTATTATTCTATCTCATTGATTTTGAAGTCCACATGTATGCATATTTATCATCTTGGAAATTGTTTTTAAAATGTGATCACAACAGAATCATTCATCTAATGTTTTCTTCTTACAATGGTACCTTGACATCCTCTCTTGAAGGGATGAGGTCTGTTTTTACCCCCTTGGAGCTTGGGTAGAACTGCATTACTGCCATGACCAGTAGATTATATCAGAAGTGATACTTTGTGACTTTTGAGTCTGTATCATAGAAATGCCATGCAATTCCAAATTGTTCTTTATGGAACCTGACACATGCTGTGAGGAAGTCCATGCTGTGTGACAGAGATAGAACATTCATTTTAAAAATGATTGGATACAAAATTGTCTCTAAACAATATTCAATAACTGACTTTGTTTCAGTGACCCAATTGCTACCTATATCATATATTATATTTCTACACATGCATGGCTACATAGCTAAAGATTTATGGATTATTCCTTTCTACCTTGCATAGTGATGTTTCTGATGCCTTAGCTCTTCTAGTACTTACAATAGCACTTTGAGGATTTTTTGCATTTATGTTCACTTTTCAAAGGTAGAAATAAAATCTTAATGTGATTGACTTTCCCTAAGACATGCACATCATAGGGAACAGCATAAGACAAAGAAAGGAAAGAGACAGACAGAGAGAGAGACAGAGAGAGAGAAATGAGTGAATGACCTTATTCATGAGAACAATATAAAATACCTAGGATCAAATAGCAAGAAATGCACAGGATTCAGTTGAAGAAGAATGATCAAACTTTGATGCAGAATATGCACTAAAATGTATATACATGTAAATTTCTGCACATGAAAATGCCATATTCAAATAGGACTAATTTTCCAGCTGTTCTGGTGAAAATTGCACAACAGTCCCCTCTTCATGTCTGATTTTGGCTTTGCTCATTCACAAACTCTATTATTTTTCTATTTGTCATTCCAATTCCACAGTTTTGTTTACATTTATTGTTTATTGTCATCTCTTCTTTCATTCTCCCCATCCTTTGGTATTAATTTCCTCTCTGCTTCTTTATTGTAATTTTGTTGGGACATTGGGAAAGAGCAGAAATCAGTCCATGTGTTCAATACACTGTGCATTCCAATACCCTTAGTATGGAGACAAATTCCTTATCACAGTTTATAACAGGTCCTACAGATGATCTTTTAGTTTATGCCTCTTTCAATATAAGTGTGTTCAAGTGACTTTACAAGGCAGACTGCTATTACCTGTGTTCCTAATTTTATCTGAAGAATATGCTGCTGTCTTTTCTTCCCTGGCTGCATTAAATGTAACATGACAATGACTTGATAATCACATGGTTATTTTTTACAACGTTATTGAGTAAACATCTAGAAACAATTTTAAATGTTGAATACATTTTTATACTCTAATACTCTAACAAATGTAATTTTTTAAAAACAAATGTACATTGTTTCAAGTCTATTACTTATCCATCTTTGGAACTGCCAAAGCAAATCTCTCCATATTATAAAAAAAAAACTTTTGTGACTTCTAGTAAACAGACATAGAAACAGAAGTTTATGATATGATACATAAAAGAGTTTGCATTTATCTTACATTTTTACTAACTTTATTTTTTAGCTAAGCTTTTGTCTATATTTGCATATTCTTGATTGAAACATGCCTTTGTACATTTGTATTGAGCAATTAAAGGCTTTTTTAACTAGTCAACCTAACAACATTGACATATGGCTTTTCTCAGATTGGAATGATCTACAAAGCTTCTGAAGCTTGAACTTTGGGGTCCTTCATGTGCACAGGCCCTTTCCAAGACCCTGTTTAGAGTGAATAGAATACAGACATTTAGAAGGTTCATGAACTAGCAGTGGTCTTCTTTATGCCAACTCCTTTACTCAAGCCTTTATGTATTTTTCTGTCTTCCACTGACCCATGGGGATCATAAGATTTCAGGACCTTCTCCTCCCTAAAACAAACTCCAATCATTTGAGGGATATCTGAATTTTTTCTGAAAAGAAGACTGGGGAATGCCTATAGAAACAAATTTCTAAATAATCTGATTCTTATGTCTACAAATAATGGCTATCTTCCTGCACTGCTGTAAATGTACTGTGGGACTGCAGATTATACATGGAGGTATCTAAAGAGTGTACTGTAGTGGTGACTGAAGGGCCTATTGAAACGATGTATGGCTATAGATTCTTGCTCTTCCACTAGTTTTTCCCTTGAAGAACATACTCCCTGCAGAATGGCACCTTCCCTTAGTATTTGTAGTGTTTCTACCTTTAAGCATGGAAGGAATGGTCAATGTTAGCAATGCTGTCTTTCCTCTACAACTTACGGCGGGGTAAGGACAATTCTCATGTTTGACTACAAAAGCAAGCGCAGCTTCATGGCCCTAATCCATTTGGGCATTTCTGCTAGTGTCCTGGATCCATCAGTCTCCACACCGGTGTTTCCAGAGATGGTGCTGACTGTGGCAATTACCAACTCATGGATGTTCTTTGATTTTTAATAGGAAGAGTGATTTCCCCAGAGGTTTTCTCTGTAAATGAAGACATTCCTTGCCTGATTTCTAGGGCATACCACTGTTGTTTATTCCGAAGAGTCCATGACTGGAACACCATGTAAGGCCATAGATTTTTGTATTCTATCTTTGTTCCGGCTCTTTGGTTTTCCTTGGGAGGGATTCTACGACAGACTTACTAAGTGAGACTCTGCAACTCTGCCCCCATTTTGTACCCTTCTCCCCCAGGCATCTTGTTCACTTAGCTGAGTACACTCTTGGGGAGAAGAGAGAATATGGTGGTAGCTCATGAGGACACATCCAGTTTTCATTCACAGCCTACGACTCAACTGAATAAACTCCTGAACTTTAAGTCTCCCTAAATGTGTGCAACAGCTTTGGGGGATCTTTAACCATTTACCTCCTGCTATCTTTGGAATGGAGGAAAAACTAAAAGTGTTACATGGGAAGTTTGTTTCAATTCTACCATCTGGTACTCAGTTTACAACCATTTCCCAATCCTGCTTCTTAATGAGCTATATAAAAGGAGAAGATTTATTGACCGTTTGTCATACATTTTGGTCAACATGTCAGCTATTGATATGTATTTTTTACATTATTAACTGAAGAAAAATGGATGCCTTTTACAAACTGTTTATAAGATTACAAAACAGAAATACATCCAAAGGAACCAAATTAGGGTTGTACTGTGGAAGCCTAATGATTTTCTCACATAAATGCCCTGTTTGGTAAGAGAAATGAGCAGGAGCAAGGTCGTGGTGAAGGACTCTGCTGAAGCTTTCCCAGTGATTCCTCTACTAAAGCTTTGGCCTTCTCAAAATATTCTCGGAATAAGCAGATATTGTCATTCTCCAGAAAGTCAACCAGCAAAATGACTTCAGCTCTCCAATAAACTCTTGCCATGACCTTTGTGCTCTCCTCATCCACCTTTGTTTTGACTGGACTTTTCCACCTCCTGGTAGCCATTCCTTTGATTGTATTTGTTTTCTGGGTTTTACTGGTAAAGTCACGTGTTGTCTCCTGTTATAACTCATTGAAGATTTGCTTACGGTCTTCATTGCTCATATTTAAAATTTTTAGGGAAAGTTCTGCTCATCTCTGTACTTGATCTTGGTGACACAGGTTGGGCATCCATTAAGTGAAAAGTTTACTAAACTTTGATCATTCAGTTAGAATCATGTAAACTGAACCAACTGAGAAGTCTGCAGTGTTGGCTATTGTGTGTGGTGCTAATTGTCACACATCTTCTCTTAGGGTATAAAGAAGATGAATGTATACCTTGCAATATGACATGGTTCATCTGTCACTGTAGGCTTTAGGTTCAACATTGTCTCATTCCTTCTTGAAATGAGGAACTCCTCATTGAATTTGTGAACTGCTGACTTCTTCAACCAATGTCAACTTACCATGTGGCAAGTAGGACAACTTTTTGGACACCGTCAGTGATTTCATCTTCTTCCACCCAAGCTTCACCATAAATTTGATGTTTGTACTCTAATTTTAGAAGAATTCATGTTGCTCTTCTAGGGACTCTTTTGAAACTGCTATCTTATTTTTCTTGAAGCCTCAAACTAGCTCCTGTTGAGACTTGTTATAGCAAGATATTCTAATTTCATTTGGTGCCAAAAAATTTGGAATCCATTCATGGTATTTCTTTCTTTCTTTCTTTCTTTTTTTTTTTTTTGAGATGGAGTCTTGCTCTGTCACCCAGCCTGGAGCCCAGGCTGCAGTGCAGTGGTGCGGTCTCTGCTCACTGCAAGCACCGCCTGCTGGGTTCATGCCATTCTCCTGCCTCAGCCTCCCGAGTAGCTGGGACTACAGGCACCCGCCACCACGCCTGGCTAATTTTTTGTATTTTTAGTAGAGACAGGATTTCAAGGATGGTCTTGATCTCCTGAACTCGTGATCCACCTGCTTTGGCCTCCCAAATTGCTGGGATTACAGGCGTGAGCTACCGCACCCAGCTCATTCATGGTATTTCTTAATAGAATGTACATTCTTCGTCAGCATTTTAACAACCCACTCCATATAGGAAGGCATCCTAACACAAGAAGGTCTACTAGAGGTAATTTAGACTTTTCCAGCTGACTAGGCCGATTGGTTTCTTGTTTTTCTTTTAGCATAAATAGGAATGTTTTCTGAAGATGGGATATAATACCTGTGGCCAAATATTCTCCAGCTACATGGAAAGTGTAACATTTGTAACTGAGATTCACATGCTTCAAGAGAGACACAGAGTGCTTGGGCCCAGCGGCTATTCTGATGTTATTGAATGATTTTCTCTGGTTTCACCAAACATTATTTGGAAAGAGAAGGTGGTTATGAGCAGTCTGGCCTAGGTAGCTTATGGTGGCTTGTCAAGTAGGGAAGAAATGCAAGAGAGAAGAAGCAGAGGGGAGTGCCAGGCAGATGTGCCTACTTGTGGGAGTCACTGGGGAAGCTGCAGTCCCAGTTAGTGGCAGGCTACTTCTCATCTGCTGAGTACAGGAAGACAAGAGGTGATACTTCCAAATATCACTCAGCTCATGCCCTATTCCTGACCTTCCCCTATGTCAGAAATGCATGAAAAGAGATTAGCATATCAGGAAGGAGTAAATATCAGGTATCAAGCTACCAGAGACAACCAAAACAGAGGTTACCAAAGAACTGAAGGAGACAGTGTCACTTAGGATGAGGTCAAAACAAGGTGCAGGACTGCAGCAGGAGCTTAGGCACTTGTCCATGAGTCAAGAACCTCAGCAATCCACTTGCCATTTAAAATAAATATAAACTTACTATGTGCCAAGCAGGACTCTTGATTTCTACCTCCTAAAACCTGCTCTCCCCTAGCTTTCTTCATTATGGCTGTCAAAAAAAATATCACAGACTAACTATTCTTCAACAACAGAAATTCCTTTTCAGCACTTCTGGATGCTCAAGTTCCACGATGAAGGTGTCAGCATGTTCAGTTCTTCTGGGCCCTGCCTGCTTGCCATCTACATACCTGCCTTCTTGCTGTGTTTCCCATGGGACTGCTTCTATACATACATAATTCTTGTGTCTCTCCGTGTGCAAATTTCTAGTTCTTATAAGGAATTTCCACTTCTTATAAGGAGAGCAATCTTATTAGATTTAGTTCCACTGAAACTCACCATTTTAGCTTGATCACCTCTTCTTAGGGCTGTTTTCTAAACAATCTTATTCTAAGGAACAAGAGGTTGGCTGTGGAGTTTTGTATACCTATGCCTATCATATTTCACTAAATATTTGATTATATAGATATCATTTCTTTGGAACTCTGAGCTGTGTGAAGACAACACAAACCTGGCCATTCATGGCTGACAAAAGGTTGGCCCTCAGCCTGGTCAGACCCACACAGATTGTCTAATTTTCTCTGGCTCTGGCTCTAGTCAGAAAAGTCTTGGTGTTGTAGAATACAGGTGTCTTCATGAATTCTATCATTAATACTCATGGGGAGGTTAAAACAGAGTTGGCCATGAAACCTACCAAGGGGTTCTAGAAATGAACAGAATGAATACACAGTTCTTGAATGAGACACCCGATTTCATATCGTCAAAATTTTTTCCTTGCTGTACCGCTTTGTTAGAATGTTTGATCAGATTTAGTTTGGGATTTACATATTTTAGGAATTTTTTTTTATATACAGACTCTTGCTCTGTCACCCAGGCTGGACTGTGGTGTCATGATCCTGGCTTACAGCATCCTTGAACTCCTGTGCTCAGGGGATTCCCCCGGCTTCAGCCTCTTAAGTTGCTTGAATTACAGGTTCATGACACTGACCATGCCCATTTATTTTTTAAATTTATTTATTTATTTACTTTTGAAGAGATGGAGCCTCACTTTGCTGCTCAGGCTGGTCTTGAGCTCGTGGCCTCAAGGGATCCTCCCACCTCACTCTTCCAAAGTCCTTGGATAACAGGCATGAGTCACCATGTTCAGTCATCTAGGAAAAAATTTTAATCACTCCCACTTATAATGAGTGGCCACAATTATATATTCCAATAAGATAGTCTGGTACCCACATAAAAGCCTCAAGCATATTGCATTGATCTATTTCTTAGTACCTGTGCTATCTCTCTCCCAGATTGCTCTTCCACACAGAAATTTTTTTCATTTTTGCAACATTCTGAAACTAATTTCTCCCGACTCTCTTTCTAAAATGTATTTGTAGACATTTTGTGTTCTAAATAATCTTCCCTGTGTTTATTTTTCATCTTACATCTGGCATCTTTTTAAATAAAATTTGGTAAAATTTTTTAAATCTAATCTTCTAGGTAAGCATCTATAATTCTTCTTACTCCTTTCTTTTCATTTTTGTTTTCAAAATTTAGATCAACATAATGTGTTTCCAAGGTCTTTTTACTGAGTTTGTGTTAGTAGCTCTCTTTTCATCTGCTGACTTTTCTGTTACATGAAGTAGTTCCTGCCCATCCTTCTACCCTTTTCATGGAAAGTTTAAGTGAGTCAGTATCAACAGCTGCCTCTTATCATCTCAGGCCTCGAATAAGTCTTGTACTGTCATTCAGTTTTTGCTCAGGGATAGTGATAACTTCAGGATGACCTTGTTAGAGGTATTGTGTGTGGGGTTGTGACTGGACATCCTAAAGACAGGCCACTTGATCAGTTGGATGAGAGGATCCTGTGTTGTACACATAAGAATCTGTTCCTACTCTTCCAGAAGGGTTTGAGAATACAAGGGGATTTCAAAAAGTTTGTGGAAGAACATAATTACAATATGAAAGTAGACAATATAAACTTTATTTCTTAACATTATCTCCATCACATTCAAGAAGTTTGGCAAGTAATGATACAAGAAATTTAGCCTATCTACAAAGAATTGAGGGCCCTGGGAATTTCACCATATAAATGCAGTCTTTTCACATTATTAGCTGAAGAAAACAGAGTACAATTTAAAGATATTTTAATATTAGAAAAAAGTTCAAAGATACTGCATCAGTACTGTAAGTTGGATGCCTAGTGATTTTCTTTTTTTTCTTTTCTGTTTTATTTTCATAGGTTGGGGAACAGGTGGTGTTTGGTTATGTATATAAGTTCTTGAGTGGTGATTTGCTAGATTTTGGTGCACCCATCACCTGGGCAGTATACACTGCACCCAATTTGTAGTCTTTTATCCCTCACCTCTTTCCGACTCTTTCCCCCTGAGTTCCCAAAGTCCATGGTGTCATTCTTATGCCTTTGCATCCTCATAGTTCAGCTCCCATTTATGAGTGAGAACATATGATGTTTGGTTTTCCAGTCCTAAGTTACTTCACTTAGAATGATAACATCGACTTATGAAAGATTGGGGAAAGTTAGGCAAAACTTTAGCAGATAAATGCTCAGAAAGGCTTTAGCAGAGTCCTTCTCCATCACAACAAAGCTCTTGCTCATTCCCCTCATGAAACAGGGGCAATTTGCCAGACTTTTTATGGAAATCACTAGGCATTCAATCTCATCCATTTATCTGCTAAAGATTTGGCTTTCTTCAGATTCCAAATTCTTTCATAAGTCGATGTTATCATACCTTGGCCCTCCCAAAAGTTATCAACCAAAATACCTTGGGCATCCAAACACACTGTTGGCATAATATTTGCTTTTGTCACATTTACTTAGACTAGATGACTTCCACCTCTTGGTAGCCATTGCTTTGATTGTGTTTTTGCCTTCGAGTGGCACTGGTAAAGCCACATTTGATCTCCCGTTACAACTCTTCAAAGACATGCTTAGGATCTTTTCTTTTCTTTTCTTTTCTTCTCTTTCCTACTTCTTTAATTTTTCATTGAATATTCTGTTCTCGTCTGTAGCTGACTTGGTTACAGCAGTTTTGGCCTTCATCAAGTGGATAGTTTGCTCAAGTTTAATTTCTCAATCAGAAAAAATTATGTAATCTGAACCAATTGATCTTGTTCTTGTGCTAGCTCTTGTTTCTGTTGTTAATTGTCAGAACTTTCCAATTAGGCCAAAAGAAGATAAAATTTTTGCCCATAAGTTGATGTGTATGTTCTGCTGCTGCAAGTTTTACCTTCACCATCATCTCATCGATTCTTAAAGTGAATTATCCATTTTCTGAAGGGCTGATTTACTTGTGCACACATATGTCCTAATGCATCAGTGATGTCACCATCCCTCCACCCAAGCTTCACCATAAACTTGAATTTGTTTTTCCTACAATTTTAGTAGAATTTTTGCTGCTCTGATAGAGGCTGTTTTCAAACCGCTTTCTCAACCATGTTAGTGACTGAACAAGATCCTGTTCAGACATGTTGTAACAAGTTAGTACAAATGTATTTTGATACAAAAAATGATTATATCCACTCATAATTTTAAAAAGTCATAAGTATTTTCTAGAAACAGTTTGAAAATCCCTTATATTATTGGAAGCCTTCCTCATACAAGGAGGGTTGTTGCAGATTACTCTGCCATTGGCTGGTGATTAGACAGACTGTTGTTTTCCTCCCTCACCCCTTCTGGAATATTAGGGATGTTTGCTAAAGAGGAAATATATTACCAGTTAGCAATTCTTCTTTGGCTATGCAATAATAAAACATGTGTAGTTTGGCTTTATGTGCTTTAGGGGTGGGCATAAAGTAGTTGCTTGTCCTAGCGGGTGCCCTAATGATATTGGGATGACTATCATTGGTTTCCACACACACTGATTAGACAGGGAAACTGGAGATGAATGGTCCTGCCTAGTGACTTATGGTAGACCTTTTAGTGGGAAAGGAAGATCCGAGGGAAGGAGCAGAGGGGAGTGCCTTGCAGACTTGCCTCATTGCATAGGTTGCTGTAGAAGTCATAGTCCTGGTGAAAGAAAGGCTCCCCCTTGGCTTGGTGAGTACAGGAAGACAGCAGGCATTGCCTTCAAATATCACTCCTCTCAGGCCCTTTCTCTGACATTGTCCAATGTCAGCAATGAGTGAAAGAGATTAGTTTATTAGGGAAGAATAAATATTAACTATGAAATCTCCACACACAAATAAAACAGAGATGACAGAGGAGCTGAAAGAGGCCCTGTCAGGGAGTAAGGATGGGGTCAAAGCAAGGAGCAGGCCTGCAGCAGGAGCTCAGGCACCTTTTGGTCAGTTGAAGCTCTCAGCAATCCACTTGCCTTCTAATATGGATGCAAACATAACATGTCCCAAATAAGATCCTTGATTTCTGCATCCTAAACTGCTCTCCCCTGATGTAGTTTGTTATCTCTGCCCTTAAAAAAAACAAAACACACTGTGTAATTTGAACAACAGAAATTAATTTTCTCACAGTTCTGGAGGCTCACATTCCATGATCAAGGTGTTAACAGGTTCATTTCTTCTAAGATGTCTCTTCTTGGATTTGACTTGGTTAATTTAGTTTTTTGTCTTCAAACACCTTGATCATTTACTTTCTGAAAAACTTTCACAGTCTATAAGGTCTTTTTTCAAATTTTAGACTTATATATGTTAGTTCTGAAATTTCTATTTTATTATTTTCTATAGTTCCTTTTTCTGCTGAGAAGCTTTTTCCCATTTATTTTGAGAGTGTTCACATTTACCTCAGAAAAGTTGGCTATAAGAGCTGCTTTAAAGTCTGATCATTTCCATATCCAAGTTGTTTCAAGGTTGTCGTATCTTGATTATACCCTTCATTAACAGTTGGTCAATTGTTTACGGTTTGTAAAAGTATATTGAGTAATTTTCAATTTTATGCCTCACATGGGCATTTTTCTGTGTTTACAATACACAAAAAGTTCAACAAGGCAAGCTTTGGACATTGAAGGGTGGAGGCACTCAGGCTGCATCGTGATCCACCCACTGGCTCCACTGGCAGAAGAGTTAATCCCACTGACGTTATTCTGCTTGAAGCTTCTATGTGGATGATTCTCCTTGGCTCTTATGAGATAAGAGTGTAAGTATTTCACATAATACACACTTATAAAATTAAAAACACAGAAAAGTGTGCTGAATGGGTCCCAAGGGCCTTATCCACAATGTCTTCCTAACTTTTCATGTTTTGTACCCCATTTTCTCAAAGCTCAATTGAACTCAAGGACTTCTTTTTTCTTTTCCTCTACAAGAACCACAGAGTTTAACATTGGCTTCTTAGAGGCTATCCCAGTAGCCAGGCAGCCCTGCTCTCTTCTGATGGGGATTTACAGAATGCAGGAAAATGAGGCTGAGGTAGAAAGAGTGACTATACACCCAGCATGCTGGCTCATGACTGTAATCCCACTACTTTTGGAGGCTGAGATTGGAGGATTGTTGATGTCAGGAATTCAAGATCAGCCTGAACAATATAGCAAGATCTCCCCATGTATACAACAAAATTTACAAAATCAACCTCGCATGGCGATTGGCACTTGTAGTGCCATCTAATTCAGAGGGTGATCTGGAAGAATTGCTTGATCCCAGGAGTTCAAGACTGCAGTGAGCCATGATTGCACCACTGTACTCCAGCTTAAGTGAGAGAACAAGTCCCTGTCTCTAAAAAGAAATAATAATACTAATAATAACAATAATAATAATAAATGACTACTGCAACTGAAAAGCTTTTTTCCCCCCACCTTGGCTTCTAGCCCCAGGGTCTACCTCGTTTAAACACAACTCCAGTGTCTATGGATTCAACAGACTTGCAGTCTCTTCCTTTCTTTCCCCTTATATGCCACTGTAGCTCTTTCCTGTATCCTCAGCACACCTTCCCCTACTCTGACAGAATCAAGTACAATGGTGAATTGAGCAAGTATAGGCAATAGAGCTATAAATACTTATGTTTCTACCCTCCTTGATATTTTTGCAAGATTTGGAGATGAGTACGTAGGGCCTTTAGTCCTTTTTGAGCCAGGTCATCTCAGGCCCAGCCCGAATCCTTAAAGGAACTGAGATCCGAGTAGAGGAAAAGAAGTGATAAGAGAGATGTGAACAAAGTGTCTTCATGCAAGTAAGTAAGACACATTTACTGTCTAATTCAAGCATTGTAGTCACAGCCTAAGACTCAACTGAATAAACACGTGAATTTTAAGTCTCCCCAAAGGTGTGCAACAGCTTTGGGGCATCTTTAACCCTTTACCTCCTGTTGTCTTTGGAATAGAGCAAAAACTAAAGTGTTACATGGGAAGTTTCCTTCAATTCTACCACCTGGTACTCAGTTTACAACCATTTCCCAATCCTACTTGTTAATGAGCTATATAAAAAGACACAAATTATTGACCACTTGTCATACATTTTGGTCAACATGCCAGCTATTGATATGTATTTTTTACATTATTAACTGAAGGAAAATGGATGCCTTTTACAAATGTTATAAGATTACAAAACAAAAAAAAATGAAAGAAACCAAATTAGGGTTGTAATATGTCCAAAATTGTTTTCTTCCAGTTGGTTCTTGGTCTCGCTGACTTCAAGAATGAAGCTGCGGATGCTTGCAGTGAGTGTTACAGTTCTTAAAGATGATGTGTCCATAGTTTGTTCCTTCAGATGTGCAGATGTGTCTGGAGTTTCTTCCTTCCAGTGGGTTCTTGTTCTCACTGACTTCAGGGGTGAGGCTGCAGACCTTTTCAGTGAGTGTTACAGCTCTTAAAGCTGTGTCCAAAGTTGTTTGTTCCTCCTAGTGGGTTGATGGTCTCACTGACTTCAGGAATGAAGCCGCAGACCCTCTCGTGGGTGTTACAGCTCATGAAGGTAGTGCAGACCCAAAGACTGAGCAGCAGCAAGATTTGTTGTGAAGGGCAAAAGAACAAAGCTTCCACAGCATGGAAGGGGACCCAAACAAGTTACCACTGCTGGCTCAGTTGGCCAGCTTTTATTCCCTTATTTGGCCCTGCCCACATCCCGATGATTGGTATATTTTGCAGAGTGCTGATTGGTCCATTTTGCAGAGTGCTGATTTGTCCATTTTACAGGCTGCTGATTGGTGCGTTTGCAATCTTTTAGTTAGACACAGAGTGCTGATTGGTTCATTTTTACAGAGTGCTGATTTGTGCATTCACAATCCTTTAGCTAGACAGAGAGCACTGATTGGAGCATTTTTATAGAGTGCTGATTGGTGCATGTACAATCCTTTAGCTAGACACAGAGGGCTCATGGGTGCATTGTTACAGAGTGTGGATTGGTGCATTTACAGTCCTTTAACTAGACCCAGAGCACTGATTGGTGCATTTACAATCATCTAGCTAGTCAGAAAAGTTCTCCAAGTCCACAGTGGACCCAGGAAGTCCACCTGGCATCACTTCTCAGTAATGTGAAAGCCTAATGATTTACCATGAGAACTCTCATATAATTGCCCTGTTTGATAAGAGAAATGAGCAGGAGGAAGGTTGTGGTGAAGGACTCTGCTGAAGCTTTCCCAGGGATTCATCTAGTAAAGCTTTGACTTTCTCAAAATATTCTCAGAATAAGGAGATACTGTCATTCTCCAGAAAGTCAACCAGCAAAATGACTTGAGCTTTCCAATAAACTCTTGCCAAGATCTTTGTGCTCTCCTCATCCACTTTTGTTTTGACTGGACATTTCCGCCTCTTGGTAGCCATTGCTTTGATTGTATTTGTTTTCTGGATTTTACTGGTAAAGTCATGTGTTATCTCCTCTTATAATTCATTGAAGAAATGCTTATGGTCTTCGTTCTTCCTATTTAAATTTTTAGGGAAAGTTCTGCTCTTGTCTGTACTTGATCTTGGTGACACAGTTTGGGCATCCATTAAGTGAAAAGCTTACTAAACTTTAATCATTCAGTTAGATTCATGTAAACTGAACCAACTGAGAAGTCTGCAGTGTTGGTTATTGTGTGAGCTGCTAATCATCACACCTCTTCTCCTGGGTATAAAGAAGATGAATTTATTCCTTGCAATATGATGTGAATCATCTGTCACGATAAGCTTTAGGTTCAACATTGCCTCATTCCTTCTTGAAATGAACTCCTCATTGAATTTGTGAACTGCTGACTTCTTCAACCAATGTCAACTTACCACGTGTCAAGTAGGACAACTCTTTGGACACCATCAATGATTTTGCCTTCCTCCACCCAAGCTTCACCATAAATTTGATGTTTATACTCACTTTAATTTTAGAAAAATTCATGTTGGTCTTCTAGGGGCTCTTTTGAAACTGCTCTTATTTTTCTTGATGCCTCATACTAGCTCCTGTTCAGACATGTTATAGCAAAAGATTATGATTTCATTTTGGTGCCAAAACATTGGAATCCATTCATGGTGTTTCTTAATAGGATATACCTTTTCCTTCAACATTTGAACAACCCACTGCATATAGGAAGGCATCCTGATACAATAAGCTCTACTAGAGGTAACTTAGAATTTTGCAGCTGACTAGGCAGATTGCTGTCTTGTTTTTCTCTTAGGATAAATAGGGATGTTTTCTGAAGATGGAATATAATACCAGTGGCCAAATATTCTCCAGTTACATAGAAAGTTTAACATTTGTAACTGAGATTCACATTCTTTCAGAGAGACACAGAGTGCTTGGGCCAATCTGGTGTCCTGATGTTATTGAATGATTTTCTCTGGTTTCACCAAACATTGTTTGAAAAGGAAGCTGTTGATGGGCAGTCTGGCCTAGGTAGCTTATGGTGGCCCATCAGGAAGGAAAGAAACGCAAGAGAGAAGAAGCAGAGGGGAGAGCCAGGCAGATGTGACTCCTTGTGGGAATCAGTGGGGAAGCTGCAGTCCTGGTTAGAGACAGACTTCTCCTTGTCTGCTGAGTACAGCAAGGCAAGAGGTGATCCTTCCAAATATCACTCAACTCATGCCCTGACCTTCTCCTATGTCAGAAATGAGTGAAAGAGATTAGCATATCAGGAAGGACTAAATATCAGATATCAAGCTACCAGAGACAAGCAAAATAGAGGTTACCAAAGAACTGATGGAGACAGTGTCACTGATTTAGGATGGGGTAAAAGCAAGGAGCAAGATGGCAACAAAAGCTTAGGCATTTGTCCATGAGTCAAGGACGTCAGCAATCCACTTGCCATTTAAAATAATGTAACCATACCGTTTACATTACACTCCTGCACTAAGCAGGACTCTTAATTTCTGCCTCCTAAAACCTGCTCTCCCCTGAATTTCTTCATTATACCTGTCCAAGCAAAATATCACAGACTAATATTCTTAAGCAACAGAAATTATTTTCCGACACTTCTGGATGCTCAAGTTCCACGGTGAATGTGTCAGCAGGTCCAGTTCTTCTTGGCCCTGTCTACTTGGCATCTAGATATCACCTTCTTGCTGTGTCCTCCCATGGGGCTGCGTCTGTGCCTACGTACTTCTTGTGTCTCTCTGTGTGCAAATTTCCAGTTCTTATAAGGAATTTCCACTTTTTCTAAGGACATTCATCTTATTGGATTTAGTTCCACTGAAACTCCCTCATTTTAGCTTGATCACCTCTTCTTAGGGCTATTTTCTGAACACAATCATATTCTAAGGAACAAGAGGTAGGTTGGCTGTGGAGTTTTGTATACCTATGCCTATCATATTTCGCTAAATATTTGATTATATAGAGGTTATGTCTTTAGAACTTTGAGCTATGTGCAGACAACACAAACCTGGCCATTCATGGCTGACAGAAGGTTGGCCCTCAGCCCGGTCGGACCCACACAGATTGTCCAATATTCCTTGGATCTGGCTCCGATCAGAAAAGTCTCGGTGTTTTAGGATACAGGTGTCTTAACGAATTCTATTATTAATATTCGTGGAGAGGTTAAAACAAAGTTGGACACAAAATCTACCAGAGGTTTCTAGAAATGAACAGAATGAATAGAAGTTCTTGAATGAGCCATCCTACTTCATGTCTTTAAGAATTTTTTCTTGCTCTTCCCCTTTATTAGAATGTTTGATCAGATACAGTTTGGACTTTATGTCTTACAAGATTATATATATATAAATATAGGCTCTCGCTCTGTCACCCAAGCTGGAGGGTGGTGTCCTGATCATGGATTCCAGCATCCTAGAACTCCTGTGCTCTTGGGATTCCCCCCACTTCAACCACTTGAGTAGCTTGAATTACAGGTTCATGACACCCACCATGCCCGTTTATTATTTTTTAATTTATTTAAAAATTTTTTGAAGAGATGGATCCACAATTTGTTGCTCAGGCTGGTCTTAAACTCCTGGCCTCAAGGGATCCATCCAACTCACCCTCCCAAAGTCCTGGGATAACAGACATGAGTCACTACATTCAGTTATTCTTCTAGGAAAAATTTTTAATCACTCCCACTTACAATGAGTGGCCACAATTATATATCCCAATAAGATAGTCAGGAACCCACATAAAAGCCTCAAGGGTATTGCACTGATCTATTTCTTAGTACATGTGCTGTCTCCCAGATTCTTCTTCCAAACAGAAATTTTTTTTATTTTTGCAATATTCTGAAACTAATTTCTCAAGACTCGCTTTCTAAAATGTATTTGTTGACATTTTCTGTTCTAAATAATCTTCCCTGTGTTTATTTTTCATCTTATGTCTGGCTTCTTTATAAATACATTTTGGGAATTTTCTTAAATCGACTCTTCTAAGTAAGCATCTATAATTCTTCTTACTCCTTTCATTTTATGTTTGTTTTTAAAATTTGGATCAATATACTGTATTTCCAAAGTATTTTTACTGAGTTTGTGTTGGTAGCTCTCTTTTCATCCACTGACTTCTCTGTTATATCAAGTAGTTTCTGCCCATCATTTCATCTTTTTATGGAAAATGCAGGTTAGTCAGTATTAACAGCTGCCACTTATCATTTCAGGCCTCGAATAACTTTTGTGACATCATTCAGTTTTGGCTCAGGGATAGTGATAACTTCAGGATACCTCGTTAAAGGCATTGTGTGTGGGTCTGCCACTGGAAATCCTAAACACAGGCCACTTGATCATTTTGATGAGAGGATCCTGTGTTGTACACATTAGAATCTGATCCTGCTCTTCCAGATGGGTTTGAAATACAAGGGATTTCAAAAACTTTGTGGAAGAATGCAATTACAATATGAAATTAGACATTATATAAACTTTATTTCTTAACATAACCTCCACCACATTCAAGAAGGTTTGCAAGTAATGATACAAATAATTTAGCCTATCTATAAAGAATTGAGGGTCCTGAGAATTTCACCATATAAATGCAGTCTTTTCAAATTATTAACTGAAGAAAACAGCATACACATTAAAGTATTTTTATCTTAGAAAAAAAACAAGTCTGAGGAACAGCTCCAGTCTACAGCTCCCAGCGTGAGCGATGCAGAAGACAAATGATTTCTGCATTTCCAACTGAGGTAACAGGTTAGTCTCACTGGGGATTGTCAGACAGTGGGGGCAGGACAGTGGGTGCAGCCCACCAAGCATGAGCTGAAGCAGGGCAAGGCATTGCCTCACCCGGGAAGTGCAAGGGGTCAG